>NC_000006.12:93964219-94115157 GCF_000001405.40 Homo sapiens
TGTGCTTATTTCTTTTTTCCTTTTTCTTTATATCATCAGAATTTAGAAAAGTACAAATAAGGAGATAAACTGCAAAGTAGGTGACAGTAGAAGATGAGGAAGTGGGAGGTATAATTCATTTTTGGAGCAAAGCTTTGGATAAAAGACTCTAGGGATACTTATTTAGGCTCTATGCTCTGACAAAAGGAGTTATGTGGTGGTGCATAATTTTCCCACAGATCTTTTGTTCTTTGATGTGTTTGATGCACAAATAAAAATGTGAGTTGAAAGTTTGCAGAGTGGAGTTTGAATGTTTACAAAGGGGGCTGTAAAATGAATATGCTGATGTGTGTGAAGTCAAACACGCAGTAGATAATGGGAACTATTAGGAAGATAGGCTCAGAAAAGGAGTTTTTAGAATGCCTGATGCCTTTGTGAATGCCAGGTTTTGTTTATTGTCTGTATATAACAACCATTCACCAAGTGCATATTCAAAGCATTTTCTAATAAAATGTTCTCTAATAGGAAGGTTGATTCTGTTTGATCAGTAAAAAAATTGAAGTAATATTTACATGATGATACAAAATAGAAGTGGAAGTCTGGTGGCCTCTTGCTTTATAGTTTGAATCTTCAAGACAGTGGTACTCAAGATAGTACCAAAATACACCTTACCTTCTTTGTAGTTTCATGATAATGACGTGTAATTTTCTCTAACTTTTTTTTCTTAGTCTCTCTTTTTGTGTATATATAGAATTTGTATAACCCAGACTTCAAAAATTTGAAGGATAAGAACAAAATATTTCCTGTTTAAAGCTCCCCATGTAACTTTCAGAATTGCAGTTCTCCACTCTCCTTCAAGAAAACACTTCAGGTTCCCAGTGAAGAGTCAGGATCATGGTAAGATCATAAATTATTTTTGCTGACACTGATATATATCTGAGGACAGCATAGCATAGTATGCAGTAATGTTTCACAAATGTTTTTCCATGAAAAAGCAAATGAGTAAAAAAAAAGAATGAATGATTTTGCTATTTCCACCTAACTCAGGTGGTATGGTTGATAAATGACGATGTTCCACTTTTCCAGAGCCTGACTTTCAGAAACAAATCTAAATTTAAATAAAAACAAGTCTAAATTTTTACTGTGACTTAGTTACTGCTGTCAGATAGCCTTCAGAACCTAGACTCATGCCTATTAAGGCCCAACTGTGACTTGGGCAAGACTTTTCTACTCCACTGGGGGAAGTCAAAAACCTATCTTGGGCTTCAGGCAGTTGCAGGAGATGGAGAAACAGACTATTGACTTTATTGACACTGGATTGTCTTTTGGACCAAAGAAGGTCTCATCTTTATCTGGAGTAGATAACCAAGTATGGAGCCTTGGATCCCAAAGTTCGTCTAGGGCACTGAGATATATTTTAGTCTCATCAGAGGTATAGGGTTGTATTTAGAGTGATCATGTCATTTGTTATTCAAACCAAGACTACCGAGAATGGAAGTGGCACTGTTGATAGATATTGGAAAATAGGTGAAAACCAGGACCCTTGCATAGGGATGCATAGCGATGGATCTCCTGAATAGGTACCATAAATAGGGATCTCTGGTAACACCATTCATGGTAAAACTTTTCCTCTGTTTCAAGTTTCTCACAGGCTCTATTGTGAAAGTAATAACAACTTCACTCTTTTTAAGATTATTTATTTCACTTCAACATGGCCAGGAAGTTATTGACTTCTGATAACATGGTTCTGTTTCTGTTTCAAACAAAGTTTGCATAACGATCAATAGATTCTTTTGTTTTATTCTCTTTGTACAGGCTTTAATAAGCTTTGTCTCTTTGGTTCACACAATTTTCCCAAATCTCTAGAGCTAAGCACTCTAAATAGTTATTTTTAGTGAAACACATTATGTATATTATACATTGGCATTGTAATTATACTTTCCCTCCTATTCAAAGTACTATTTTCTTTCGTTTGTATGGGAGAGGGAGGTTGTCTTACAGTGTTTTTTGTATTTTTCACTGGAAGACCTCTCTTCCAAATATTATATTTCTCCCCCACCATGAAGGATGTTTCTCTTCATTCCACTCATGTATATGAAGGACAGATGCATGCCAATTCCACCTTGGTGAGACTGTGCCATACAAACAGGGCTTCAGGGAAAGATAGTAGTGTTATCAGAGTATGGCTCAGTCTCTTTCATGGGCTCATAAATTTCTTCCCATTACAATACAACAACACAAAACTTCAGGGTGGTGTTAGCTTTTACTGAAAATTTAGAATAAACAAAAATGAATTAGAGTGTATTTTTAAGACATATATCTGATTTATTACCCCTTATCTACACTTGGAAAAAGTCAGTTGCCACTTACTGGAGCTCAGTCAAATTTAGATAGGAAACTTCCTTGTGTTCATTTTTAGTGAGGTATGTATGTGTTGGGACAATGCAAGGTGGAGAGAGGCAGGAGACACTGGACATAAAGCAAAGATGAAAGAAAGGTAGAAAAGATGTATCCTTTGGTTAAGAGTTAATGCATAAACTATTAATGTTAAAGGGTGTAACCCTATGCTAAAACACCTATACATAACAAATTTGTGTGTTTCTCCTCCTCTTTGGAAGGCATATCAAATACCAGCAGATCAAAATGATAAAATAAACAGGGTGGTCTTTTTTGTACAAAATTGCCTTGGAGTTATGTATTCATAAGGGTTGTCTTGAAAAACTGAACCAGTAGGGTCTATGTATATCTGTATATATCTATGTCTATCTATATCTATATCTTTACCTATATATCTATATCTATAATGAGTGTTAGTTCACACTCTCATGGACCCTGAGATGCCCCACAATATTCTTTCTGCAAGCCAGAGGCCTAGGAAGGTAGTTCTTGTTCATGTCCTTAGGCCCAAGAACCAGGAGTGCTAATGTTGAAGGAAAAAAGAAGAATGTTCACGCTCAAGAAGAGAGAACAAGTTCACCCTTCCTCTGCCTTTTGTTCAACTGGGACCCTCAACAGACTGGGTGATGCCCGTCCTCTCTGGTGAGAGCCATCTTTTTCACTCATTCTACTGATACACCCAGAAATAATAATTTTCTAGCTATCTGAGCCTCCCTTAGTTCAGTCAAATTGACACATAAAATTAACCAGTATAGGTTACCACTGAGGTATATAATTGTTAGAACTCCAGAGAAATCACAAAATTAAACTGAATCCCTGTTGCCCATGGCATGTATAAAACATTTGCCACTTTACCTAATTTCATTTTTCCACCAGGAAGTGAACACTGTGAGACTAGAAGGCACTTACATATTAGAAGATGTAAAGATTCCAGGTGACCACAATGTGGATATTCTAAATGCAAGAAATATAATTGCTAATTTAATCATTTGAGTTTGAATATTTTTATTACAATGGTCAGCCTGGGTGGAATATATTTAGAAGGTGATCCATGTGGCCTTTGCTTTCTAGTCTATAGTTTCTGAAATTTGTGTAAAACATGTTATATTACCTCACTAGGAATGGTATATGTGGTTCTTACTTCATAGATCCCAGATAAGCAAACACCTGTGGCCAAATGAGTGTGGTGTAAGCAGCAAATTTGGGTGACAAGACTTCCCTGGTCTGGATGGAGGCAACTATGGATACCTAATTCCATTGGTAATGACAGGATGGACACCTATTGACAAATAAGGAATGGCGTGTTGAGCATTAGGGAACTTGAAACTTGTAATCCTTATTGGAGTGTAAAATTTAACAACTATTCTTCAGGGCTTCCTAGTAGTTGAGTCATTTTTTTTTTTTTAATCAAGACTCAAATGAGGTCTAGAGTTAAAATACCCTTCATTTTAACTGAGGGAAAATACCTATTTACTAACAGAAACAAAACACTATGACACTCTGTTTTGTAAATCCTTTTGTGACCTCCTACTTAAAGGGCACATTTATTTGCCCTTCCTCAAGTTTTCAGGTGAAGGACTCATCATTTCAGCAGTATTGCTGACCTCAGTTTGCTTTCTCTCTCCTTCCGTTTAAGGGAAGAAGATTGATTGGTTGGAATGGTCACTTTGAAAGAAGGAACTAAGCCTGCTTAATTCACACCCTTCTTTTTGTTTGTTTTTTCTCTTTGAAATATGCCTGTGTGTAAACACACATTTTCTGTGGTTTAGTGTGGTGAGTTTTATAGATGCAGTATTCTTACGAAAAGCCAGTGGATTTTGACCTGTGTTCATACCTGAATGGGACTACTCCTTTAGCACTACAGTTTTGGCAAGTCCGCTTGCTTAACAGATCAAGTCACGACATATAATCTAGTTTTCATCAATGTAAAGGTGATGGGTTGAACTCCACTGGGGTTACTACTGTGTCAATTTTAAAAGTTTCAAATAGGTGAGGAATTAAGGGTGACGGTGACATATATTTGATCCTATAAAATGCTAACACTCCTCCTGTTTGTCCTTTCATAGTCCTTAAAGCTCTTTAATAGTGTAATATTGTTTCTATGCTCTAATATCTTAACAAAATTTCATGTGAGCTAATGTGATATTTCTTACCATAGAAGAGTAAATTGAAACCTCATGCATTTCTTTTTACTATGCATATTGGTCAGAGTCTAATAATTTGTCACAGAAAACATACTGTGTATATTTTGTGTGTCTATATATAACAGGAAAATGTTAAGGCTAGTCTGATCGGTCTTGTTCTATTTTCTATAAGTTTAAAATCATCAACTAAATACATATACAAAAGGAAATTTTGTGACAACTTTACTAAAACATTCAGGTCGACATTTTGAAACGTCCTTTAGCTAAACCAAGACACACGAAGAGAAAAAAAATCAAAGCCAAGGAAGAGCTTATGAAAGGCAGAGTAAATCCTTTAGGATGATTAGTTCAGTGAAATATTAAAAGAATATTTTGTCTGCAAGTCAGGTCTCTTGCTGGTCTCAAACTAGTAATTTGGATTCACTTCATTATAGCCACTGAAGTACCTTAGCAAAGTCTGGGAAGAGGAGCAAAGAGCCAGAAAGAAAAAGAGCAATAACACTTATATGATGGAGTTACTCTCATAATTCAGCACCAGATAACTCAAACAAGTACCTTGCAAACGACAATGCAGGGCTTAGCTTCACTCTTTGCGAATAAAAATGCATCACACACAGAAGCCCTCCAGGAGCTCCCTTGATGAGCCTCAAAATGAGTATTCTAAAGATGTAACAAATTTCTCTCTTTGTTTCAAGAGCTGATTCTTCCATTTTAAATCAAGGATACCTTACAAACCAATGATATCTGACTGAACAACTACTTTCAGGGTAATAAAAGTTGTAATATTTTGCTAAAAACACATGGATTTTGCATACTGGCAATTTTGTTAATGTGAATTCATATATATTTTTTAAAACAACTCTTTAACTATTTTATACAGTTTTTCATGGGCAATATCAGGAGTGGAATTTTTGAATGACCTGATTATTTACTAGCCTGGCTCTTTTCAGAAAACCTGATACTCAAAGGAATACTACACTGATAATAAATAGATTTGAATTCATTGTAAGAAGAAAGAAAGGTTTGTACATGGGCTCTGGATTTAAACGAACATGAATATAGGACTAAAATCTGGCTCCAAGTCTCACTAATTGCGTGACGGTGGCAAATATGTTAACCTCTCTGTTTTCTAATCTGTAAAATGGGATTAATATCAGTACTAACCTCATATATTAGTGTGAAAATAAATAAAAATAAAGATAATAACCACCAATTATTGCAAGACATCTAATTGTCCATCAAACACTAAGCCAAGTGCATCTTGTGATTAAATTCTGTCTTCACAGCAACTATTTGAGATTGTACTTAAATTCTCTACCTTGACTACATTTTCATAAGTGATAGCTGTCTCTCCTGTAAAAAATATTTTCAAATTTTGTCTTCTAGCTTAAAATGCTCCTCTGAGCTCCAGAATTATATATCTATTATTAATAGACACATAAGTAAGTACATAAGCTCAACCGAGGTCATCATCTTTAATCCTGCTCCATTCTTGTCTTTATCCTGTTTACTTTGGTAAATGGCACAACCATCCAAACAGCACTTGAGCTCTAAGTCTAGAATTTATTCAGTCACAAAAACTTGCTGACTTATCTCAAATCCATCCATCTGCCACCTGCAAATGACCTAATCATCTGACACCTCAAATATTATTATAGTTTCATAATTGGACTTTCTGTGAACATTTTTCATTCCCTCTCTGCGGTTACCCAATCCAGCATCTACCTGTATTGCGGCCGAAATATCTCTTAGAAACTCATGTATAATTATGTTGTCCTATTGCACAATGCCTTAAATTTTTCTTTAGATAAAGATTAAAGTACTTAACTTGACCTACAGGGTCTTGTTGAATCAGGACCTTGTTGACTTTTGGAACCCTTTTGTGCTTTGACACTAGCTCTCCCTGCTTCAGACATACTAGTCGGCATTCATTTTCTCAAATTGTCTTCCCCTACGTTGTTTCAGGACCTTCACTCATACTTTGTTTCTGCCTGGATCCTCTCCCCTCCCTGTCCTAGCTTGGCTTATTGACAGCCAACTCTCCACACAGGAAGTAGTTCATTCCATACCTTATGCATCCATAGGACTTGTACTTCTTGGCGGCTAATTGCTTACAGCATCTGCTGGAGAGTTATCTCCATGACGGCGGGGAATGTGTCTTTTCTCACTGCAAGTCAAGCACAATGCATTGCTCAATGCTTATGTGTATCAGTAACTCTTTGTTGAAGCAACTGCAACTTTAAATAAACAAGCAGCTGTAATCTATTCCTTTCATTCCTCGGTGCTAAGAATTGGTTTGAGCTAAGAGACAGCAATGGGGATAGAGGAGTAGAAGAAGAGACAAGGTGAGAGACAGAGGCACAGAAAATTTGTATAGAAAACAAATAATGAGAGATGTAATCATGAAAGCTCAAGCATGGACTGTGCTGCTTTGACATCAAGGTGAGGAAGGTTCAGGGAGAAGCTCATCCATTCCTTCCAACTTATCGCGACCACTCCACAGTGCAGTGCTGCTTCAACAGAGGGAGGGAGTTGCTGCTATTATTTCTAGCTTCCATTCATTTGAAGCTTCAAATGTTTATACATATTACGTCATTTAAACTTAACAAGCCTGTAAGGTAAGCTGCTATGTTATCCCCATTATTTAGATGATGTGGTAAAGACAAAGAAGTCTTAAGTAACCTGCCCAAAGCGATGCCTAGAAAAATAGATTCAAATACAGAAAATGTGACTCTAGTGTTTGCTTACTTAACAACGACATATCCTGCCATCAGGAAGCTTGTCACTAGCGCATCTGCCAGTGAGCACTGGCCAAGCGGTCTACTGATGAGGGAAAAAGTTACAGATAATCCAGGCAATGAGGATTCATTAAACTAACAGAGAGGATTCTTAAGGGGACTGCCACTTAGCTGAGTAGCAGACGACAGATATTAAAAGTGTGTTCTGAATCAGCCTTTCTGGTACCAGCGCACATCTTGACAAGTATGATTATGTGTGTGCATGCATGTGTGGTAAAAGATTAGATTCACGAGAAATCTGAAAACTCTAGGACTTTCTTTCTTTGAGTTATTCATTAACCTCATATGGCTGATATGAGTCCTCAGCCCCTCTGACACTGAAACTGTCTGTATTAGTTTGCTAGGGCTGCCATAACAAAATACCACAGACTGGGTAGCATAAACAACAGAAATTCATTTTCTCATGGTTCTGGAAGATGAAAGTCCAAGACCAATGCGCCAGCATCTATGGTTTCTTCTGCGGCCTCTCCTTGAATTGTAGATGACTGCCTTCTTGTGTTCTCACACGTTCCTTCCTCTGCACATGTGCATGTGTGCGTATGCATCTCTTCTTATAAAGCCACCAGTCATATCGGATTAGGGCCCACCAGTATGAACTCATTTTACCTTAAATACCTGTTTAAAGATCTTGTTTCCAGTCACATTCTGAGGTACTGGGGATTAGGACTTCAACATATGAATCTAAGGGGGACACAATTTATTCCTTAATACCATACATTCCATGAACACATAGAGTTATACAAAGGATTATAAGAGTGATTAACTGGGACTATTCAGGCTCAAACTGTTAAGTCTTTAAAGATAAAGGCAAAAACTCATAGTATTTTTGTTTTGTTTTGTTTTTTATCAGTGGCAAATGTGTAGGCAGGAGCATCCATAGCCTGGGCTGTTCTCTGGTGGTTCCACTGATCGAAACAACTGAGACAAGTCAATGTGAGGATTATAAATCAATTGGGAGTGTATTAGAATTAATAAAGAATTGGAATTATAGAGTCTAAACCTGAAATATGTAACTGATTCATTGCTTTTTTTTTTTTTTTTTTTTTTTGGTCACGAGAATCGCCAGGACTGGTTCTCTTAACATATGTAAAGAAACTTGAATATGACAGACTTTTATTGCCAACTTAACAGCCATTTTCAAACTCCTTCTTTGTCACACAAGTCTTATTTGCCAAAGAACACTAATTCTGTTCAGAATTTGGTACTTGTGTGCTTCAGTAAAAATGAATCCTTTCATAATCCAGGAATGAAAATATGCTTAGTTTACACCAGTCATGGAAATTGTTTTTTCTCCAGGCTAATTAATGGTTTAGTAAGGGCAACCATTTCTCACCAAGGAGACCCGGTGGAATTGGTGAACCTTTTGGGAATGGATTATTCCTTCTGAAAACAAGAAAAAAAAATACAAACTGTTCTTTTGTGACCCTGAATCTAGTTGGGTTGAGAACCTGACATCTGCAACAGCTGCTGCATTTTTCAAATATGAGTAAGAGAGTGAGAGAACAAATGTACTGGGTAGAAAGGCATCTTCCCTAAATTCACGTCCACTTAGAAACTTTTATATGTGGCTTGATTGGAAAAGAAGACCTTTTGCAGATGTAGTCGCACTGAGATGAGACCATATTTGAGGAAGGCAGGAGCTCAACCAATGACTGATACTTTTATTTTATTTTATTTTATTTTATTTATTTTATTTTGATGGAGTCTCACTCTGTCGCCCAGGCTGGAGTGCAGCGGTGTGATCTCGGCTCACTGCAACCTCCACCTCCCGGGTTCAAGTGACTCTCCTGCCTCAGCCTCCAAAGTAGCTGGGACTACAAGTTCATGCCACCATGCCAGGCTAATTTTTTGTATTTTTAGTACAGATGGGGTTTCAACGTGTTAGCCGGGATGGTCTAGATCTCTGGACCTCGTGGTCTGCCCACCTCGGCCTCCCAAAGTGCTGGGATTACAGGTGTGAGCCACCGCGCCCGGCTGACTGATTCTTTATAAGAATAGGAAAGTGCAGACACACAGAGACACAGGGAGAAAGCATGTGACAATCAGGCAGAGATTAGTATGATGCAGCTGCAAGTTGAGGAACATCAAGGATTACCAGCAACCACCAGAAGCCGGGGAGAGGCAGGGAAGGATTCTTCCCTAGAGGGAGCATAGCCCTGTCAGTGACTTGATTTCAGTCTTTTAGCCCCTAAAACAGTCAGAGAATAATTTTTACTTTTTTAAAGACACCAAGTTTGTAGTACTTTATCATGGAAGCCCCAGAAAACTAATACACCAAGGCACTCCTCTGGTAATGGTAGGGTGAGCAATGGACAGAATTTGTGTGCTTGATGATGTTAGTGAGTAAGGGATAAAACAACAATACCTCTGTTCTTTTTATTAGAAAACATTTTTTTCCTCTTGTTTTAGACAATGCTAGTAAATTTATTTGTGATTTATTGCTGAGACATCCCAAAGCAACATGCAACGTTTGGGGTATTGCAAATATTTAGGGGAAAAGAATACTTGGAATGGCCTAGAGTTCCCTATGCTAGTCAAACAGGTGGAGGCTCCAGTGTAGAGATTTGGAGTATTAACTTAAATGTGACCTCATGTGTTCTCACAGTCTGCTGAAGCTTTGCACTTATCATTTACATTCTGTTACTTATTGTCATTCCACTGTTATCCGAGACTGGTGTGGCCTGGGGAAATGCCACCGACATTTGCTTGATGGCCAAGCACCATGCAAGTCAATTTCATTTGCTTTGTATCAAGATCCTAGCCTGGAGTTTTGATTAAAGATAAAGAGATGCAAAAATACCCAAATCACATGCATGGAAACAAAATGTCTGCTTCTTCAGATAGTTCTATTTTTGTGTCTATAATTCTGCTCACCAACTGCATGTGTAACCTTTCTTTAAATTTGCAAAATAATTCAGAAGTTTTCATGCTGCCAATTGCTAATCAAACCTTCTTCATCAACATCCACGCCCTCTTCCCATTTGTCCTCATATTCATACACTGCAAACAGTGGCTCACGCAGCTCCCTCTTCTCTTTGCCTCAGAAAAACAACAGGCTGTGTAACCAAGGGGAAGCTTATTAGCAGCTAAAAGCTCATTTTTAATGCTACCTAATCAGATTGCAGACTCATTTAAATTATGAACCTTAAAAAAACCATCATTTAATGACTCATATATTAGTGTGGGTTGTCAAACAGCCTTTAATATCGCTTGCTTCCTCTCAAAGAGTTCAAGCTCTAACCTTTGCCAGAATAAATTGGTAAACCTGTTTCTTTCTCAGTGCATATGGTGAAAACCTTTAAGGTCTGTCTGATTTATATAAGTGTACTTGGCTGCTATTTTATATTTATTCAAACTATGTTATAAAGTAAAAGTAAGGCTTAGCTCCAAGAATAAGATATATTTTAGTATAAAGACTGGACATATTCATGAATAAGGCACATGTAGGCTTCTCAATTATGACTGGCTTACTAAATTGAGTTCATTTACTCTGCATCATGTTACTTGCTTTTATTATTGATTTATCCTGAAAGTTAATGAATGAAAATGCAGGTGCTTGAAATTTTCATATATTTTAAATACATTTTTAAGCTGCAACATTGTAAAGGTATTTTTATAGCATTTAGGGTTTTTCTGACTGGGTATGTGTTTTCATTTGCCAAGAAAATGTAAGACCTGTGGCAACAGTTGGTTATCTCTTTGCTCCCCATTGCTATCATCAAGGAATTGATTTGAAACTGTCTGTATCACCAACTAAAGGGAACTATCCATTCTGACATGGCTCTGGCATACATGTATGTCATCTAAATTGACGTACAGCTTAATGTTGCTGTGTGGAAGCAAACTCATGACTTTACTGACTGTGAAGAAAATTGTTTCAGGAGCCATCTATCAATATCAGTCGGGCATCCAACATTTATAGAACCAGCATTTGACAACTTTTAAGTAAATTACTCCCTCTAGACGTTTCAAATATTTCAAGGTTAGTTGAGAATGTTTTAATTGTTATAGTCTTAACATATGGGCTATGGAATTAATGTCAGAGGAAACTTGCAACAGCCTGCCATCCTAGAACAAAGAGTCTTTGAACAAACTGGAAGTTGACTATCTGGTCTCTGTCTAAGAACTCCAGGACACAAAATCTTAGGTATTACCATTTTTCAGTCAAGGCCTCTCCATTGAGACTACTTTTTTCTTTCTGCAACGTATAAAAAATACTATCACACTTTCAACATGACATTCTTTCAAATGTTTGAAGATAATGTCTTCATACAATTACAGGCTAAAGAAGTTCAATACTTTTAACCACTCTTTTGTCTTCATACTCTTTAACTGTGATGTTTGGTAGTAAATACAACATTCCATCTTGATATGACCAAGATGGAAAATAGGAGTATTGTGCTCTTGTAGCCTACGTATAGGGACATTGGGTGATGACTTTGAAGAAAAATATATATCTAATTTTAAAAGAAAAGAAACACTTCTCTCTCCTTTCTCTTCCTCCATCTCTCCCTCTCTGACATCCTTCCTGAATATAAGTGATTCTGTCTACAGTCAGTTACATTGTGCTGATCAAGGTAAGTTTACTCATTGAAATTGAATGGCAGAGCAGCATGAGTTGTTGGATCAAGCAACGGGAGGATAGTGTCTATGTTAGTGTCACAGGGAAGCAGTAGCAGTCCACATTGGAGAAAGTGTTGAGGCTAATGTGGGATGAGAAAACTTTCTGTGCAGTAGACAGAAGAGAATTACCATTATAAATGTCTATCCATTTATTTAGAGCTCCTATTATTTGTCTCAGCAATGCTTTGTATCTTTATACAAATTGTGTATTTCTTAGTTAAATGTATTCCTAAGTAATTTATTTTTATGCTATTGTTAACGAAATTACTTTCATAATTTCAATTTAGATTATACATACTTACAATATTGAAATACAACTTAATTTTCTATATTCATCTTGTATTCTGCAACCTTACTAAACTCATTTTTTAGCTCTAACAGTGTGTGTGTATGTGCATGTGTGTATTCCTTGCAATTTTCTAGATACAGACTCACGTCATCTATAAATACAGGTTTACTCTTTCCTTTTAATCTTCATAGGATGTTAAGTTATTTTTAATAGTTTTAGCACTGGCTAGAACCTCTAACAAGTTGTTGAATAGAAGTGGTTAGGGCAGGTATTCTTACCTAATTCCAGTTTAAGAAAAAACGGTTCAAGCCTTCTCCATTAAGGATAATGTTAGCTGTAGAATTTTAACAGATGTGTTTTATCAGGTTTAGGATATTCTTTTTTATTTCTAGTTTGTTATGAATATTTATTATGAATGGGTATTGGAGTTCACCCATTTCATTTTAGTCTATTGAGAAACCATGTGTTTTTTCTCTTTTATTAATATGATATGATAAAGACCTGTGATTATGCTATCTTAAATAGAAATAGGAAACTAAAACATAAATAGTACCCATAAATGGGGTGCTGCTCTCACAAATGCCTAACAATGTTGAAGTGGCTTAGGAATTTGGCAATGGGCAAGGACTAAAAGAATTATGAGAAACATGGTAGGAAAATTATAGATTGCCTAGAACAAACAGCATTAAAGAAACAGCTAGTCAGAATACAGAATGAAGTGAGGAAGAAAAAAAAAAGACTACTGTCATAGAGAACACCTAAAAAGTAATAAATAAACTTGGTAGACATATAAATGTTAAAGGTGCTTTTGGTTAGAACTCAAAGCAAAATGAGGAACATGTTATTGGAGACTAGAAGAAAGAGAATCCTTATTGTATATTGGCAGGAAGCTTAACTGAATTGCATCTTACAAATTATGTGAAAGGTAGAATTTATTAAGCAATGAACTTGGATGTTTATGTGAGGAGATTTCAAAGCAAAGTGTTGACGGTGTGTCCTGATTTCTTCATGCTGCTTACAGCAAGCCACAGAAGATTGTTCATAGCCCTTGAAACTTAATGGAGATTACCTAGATGGATTTAGAATTCTCTTAAGATAGGTGACTTCCTTTGTCCTTTCATTTTCTCCCTTCTTCAGTGGGAATTTCTATTAATATTATCATTTCCCTATATCTGCACCACCATTGCATTTTGGGAGCAGATAATTTGTTTTATAGTTTTATAGATGCATAGATGAAGGGAAATTTTTCCTTAGGATGAATTATGTCCTTAGCCTCCTCCATAGCTAATTTAGATGATGAAATTCAGGGCTTTTAAGTTGGTGAGTCTTAGGTGAGATTTTGGGCTTGAATTGATGATATAATGGAAACTTTGGGATGTGCTGAATATATTTTGTGTGTGGAATGACTCCCTTTCGCACCAGAGGAGGGATTTTGGTAGGTTGAATAATAACCGTCAAAGATGTCCATGTCCTAATCCCTGGCTCCTATGAAAATGTGACCTTACATAGCAATAAGAAACTAGTAATATGGTATTTTATGTTAATTTACACACAGATGTTAAATTAACCTTGTACTTTTTGTGTAATTCTCGTTTGATCATGGTGTTTAATGCTTTTGTATATAGCTGGACTTAATTTACTAATATTTTGGTAACGATTTGCAACTAACTTTTAAAGACATGAATATGGTGTTTTACTTTTATGTCTGTTAAAATTTGTCTCGTGTGCTTTTTCTAGCCAACTGAGACTGTCACATTACAACAGGGAAAGTTATTAAATACAATATTGAGTACATCAATATTAACCTTCATTGGGTGAACAATATGTAATATACTCCCACCGTTAAATCAATTCTAGTTGACCCTGCTTTAATCTTTAATATCCACTGTACTTATGCTCTTACCTGCATATTTCTATGTAATTCTAGAACTTTTTTTAACTGTCCTCTTTCTCAATACCACCACTGTTCATTTGGAAGCAGGTATATCCTTGAAATATCATAACCTATAATATAAAATATAATCACTTGATTGTGTTAAAATCAAATCTCCATAAGTACCCATTATTTTGAAATTAATTTAGAGAAATCTGACTTCATATGTTCCTCACAGCCCAGCTGGGAATAGCTCTTCGAAAAACTAGAGAGATATTGCTGGTAGAGCTGGACTACTTCTTCAAAGTAGCCTTCAGCCTTCAAAAAAAAAAACCAAAATAAAAAATAACTCAACTTCTGTCTCTTTTTTTCATATGACTCTGATAACTGTCGTCTTTTAAAACAACTTTATTCAAATTTTGGCATGTCTTAATTTTGTTCTTCCTATGTATGTTGATTCCTGACAATCTGGCTGTCTTCCCTGGTTCAATAATCCCAATAAACTTTGTCTCCATTCCTGTGAATGTATAATTGATTTTTTGCTTTGCACATTTTTTTCCTCTTATGTTTATAGTTTCTCATTTCATTTGTGAGTACTCGCTGACAATTCGGGATTCCACAGCTACTAGACATATTTCTCAGTTCTAAGTAAAGGGTAATTAGATCCACCTGGAACCTTTGGTCTTTAGACCCTTCATCTTGGCTATTTTCTTCTGCCCTTTCTGGCTCCATATGGCACTACTGCCTCCACCCTCTAACTTTTGAGGGTCTTAATAAAAGCTGCCCCTTTTATATCATACATGATAGTCTAGAAAGTAGGCTAACTTTATATATTTTATGTATAAAATATATATGTATAACTATATATTTTAAATATGTTTATATATTTTTATTTTTAGCTAAGTTTTATCTTTTTTTCTGAAAATTCAGTTTAAAGAATTATTTATTACATTAGTGATTCCTATCGGAAAAAAATGCTTTGTCTCCTTCAATCAAACACCATTATATTAAATTACAAATGTCATTCATTTAATAAGAGTAATTTAGTGTCACTATGTGTTAGTTACTATACTACTCATTGGGACACAGGTAACTAAGATTGATTTGCACTCTCAAGGAGCTCATGGTCTATTATGGGAGAGATGTTAATAAGCTAACCATTGCTATCAATGACAATAAAAAATGGTGATATTTTAAAACGTTTGAAAATAATATTTGCCAAATGGGTCAGTAAATGCTCACAAACTGTAGTTTGGGTGGACATGGGAATTTTTCTTGTGAATTATTTGTGAAAAAGGCATTTTAGATCAGGATAATTGTATGTGCAAATGCTGATATGTTTGGCAGAGGCTTAGTTTGTTTTCCTCAAAAGTAAAACCTGAGATAATGTCTTGAATACATGTGGTTTACTTGGCAGGATGGGAGTGAACCTAGAAAACAGGACTAACGGAGAAGGCCTAAGTGGGAACAAAAAAGGATTAAAAATGAATGTAAGATTTCATCTGAGTTTCCTGCTCTGGGCAACAGAGATTCATTTCTGCCAGTACCTCAATGAAACAAAAGCTCCAATATTTAATTATTAGTTATCCAGTCTGAAGATGGATATCTAATTTGGTCACAATAGGGCTCACACTACCTCTTAGATGTGGTCCCTGAAAGCTAAAAGTCAGAAGGGTGGAACATTCATTCATCATTTCTGTCCACTATTGGCTGAGGATAGCTCTCGGGGAATAACATCCCCACATTCTGGCTGTGATCATGCGAGGGTCAGTGGAGCTCTTGAGGCATGGGGAGAGGGACATGGGACAGAATGCTGCATGACTTTTGATGCATTTGTGGTAGTGCAATGAGAACAGAACTTGGATGGGACTGCTGTCTATCACAGCAGCAGATGAAATCAGAGGTGGACAGAGATGTGACACAGGCACCAAAGACATTTGATACAGGGGACTTTAAAGAAATTTGATATTGCTGAGGCATAGGATGTGTACATAAGTGTGAGTGTGGATCGAGGACTCAGTAGTGAATTGGTGGTAATAGTATTGAAAAATCCAGCAAAAATGAGATTTAAGATGCCAAAGTATGAAAGCTAAAATTTCCTGGGGATAATCATTGGGGAACAAATAATTTATAAATAGAAGTAATATGGTATAGTATTTGTGTTTGAGAACAATTACTCTGAAAACCACTTTGATAATGAGGAAAAGAACAAGACAAAGGAAGGTGAAGCTAGAAGAAGATGAGAGCATCCACCTTTGGGGATGATATGATTCTGAATAACTAATGCTATTGAAAATGGAGATTCAGGAATATGAAATGGAGATGACATATAAATCATGGAGCAGGAACTAGTATCTAATTAGATGTGTAATGTAGAGGGAAAGAGAGAAAACAATGTGGCTCATATCTTTGCAGATAAACAAGTAGAATGGTCATCCTATCAATTATAACCAAGAATAAAGTTCACACATTCAGCTGGTTTAAGTTGAATTCAGAAGGCAGTTGGACCTTGAACAATCGAGAATGTTCTGTGTTGGGATAGAGATTTGGAGTTTTTTTTTAAATAACAAAGTAGTAGTATAATCTGTGAATGTGCATGAGATAGTTCACAAAACACATACATAAAGGGAAGAGACAACTGTTCAGGACTCTGAATACTGCCAATATCTAAGGAGAAAAGAGGAATCACCAATGATAATGCAAGGAGTAAGTGGAACAATTAAACCAAGAAAGACTGTGTTTATAAATTCTAAGAGATGGTAAAATGTAAAGGAGAATATATTAAAGTGCATTAAATGGCAGGCATTTTAAACAGTGCTGGAAGTAGTCAATTGTGTTATGTATCTTGCAAATTCAAATAATTTAAGAATAATAAGTGACAATTAGATTTTGCAGTTAGGCTTTTAGGGATCTTAGCAAGAACAATTTCTGTCTAGGGTAAGAAAAGTTGGCAGATCACCAAGGGCTAAGATGAGAATAGAAGAGAAGGCAGAATAACCTGGCTAGGATGAAAAGAAGAGAATTTAACAATAGAGGGTGATTCAGATGAAAATGGTTTCTTAAGTATGGGAATAACCTGTACATATTTACATGCTGAGAAGAAAGGGCCAAAAATATAGGATAAAGAGGGGAAAAGATAGGGAAGTCCAAAATGTGAAAGTGGTACTTGGAACATGATGGATTAATGTTAGAGATAAAAAGAGAGGCTCCAGCCTGGGAAACAGAGCGAGACTCCATCCCAAAATAATAATAATAATAATAATAATAATAATAATAATAATAATAATAATAATAATGAGAGGCATCTTCTTTTGAAGTAAGACAAAAAAACTAAAATATATTTAAGTTTAGATGCTTTTAATTAAGATAAAATAGTAATAGTCTAGCTATTTACAATTTTATCATAGATAAAATTTGACACAAAAGAGTTTAGCTCCATGATAACATTGGTTATTAGGGACAACTTCCTGCTGATATAATTTGTTAATGGGTTTGTAGCACTTCTACTTTATATCTTTAAGGACTGTGGAGATAGCCATCAATCAAGAGTGATTTAGGTGAAGCCTAGTGATGAGACCCCTGTTGATAGTTCCCAGAAATATCACTCTATCAGTAGAGTATATCAAATACAGTTCACTGTAAAAATGGAACTTCTTAGCACAGTTGTAGGTAAATGGCACACAGTAGGTACTAAATAAATAGCTATTAACTTCATAACATGGCATCATCTACATTTTAAAAAGAAAGATATAGCAATAGTTTAATTTATTGTTATCCTTGGACCAGAAAATACTAGCACCACTGGGATTTTAATTAGGAAAATTATTAATGGAAATGTTTCCTATATGCAAAATTTGCCTAATTTGTGTTTGTGACATCAACTTTATACATTTCTGTAGTAATATTCTCTGTGATTTTAGTTCCTCTCTTTGAACATAAGAAGTCCTGTTTTTGAAATAATCAAACAAAAGGCACTGCATCTCAAGATTTGTGTTTTGAAGTGTAATATCTAGGGTACTGTTGAGTTAGTTTTTATATTACTTGAAGCCTCTGTAGAGTTAATCCGAAGAGGGATATCTAATGTGTTCACAATAGGACTCACACTACCTCTTAGATGTGGTCCTTAAGAAGTGCGAAACTTGAAGAAAAATTGCCCAGCCTATACTCAGCAGACAATTGCTTTTGTCAACTGAAATTATTCAGTTGCCCTGACCTACCTTAAGGGTTTCCTAGTCACTCTTCAGCTCTAAATGCAGCAGGAAAAACTGCTGCAGGATACAATTGTCTGCCTGTACTTTACTGAAACTAAACAATTATTTTCATGTCATGAGCAAAAATCTGCGTTCAAAATAAGAGAATTGAATCCATGTCTAGTTTGTCTAACCTTCAACATCATGAAAACATTTGGTATTTATTAATTTCAGGATATTTTTGAACATGACCCTCACAGACTGACATATTCTTCTCATAACTTTAGCATTTTATTTCAAAGTAATCATTTGGGAAATGTTCTCCCTTTGAACAAAACCTGGAACAACCATTGACAAATTTTAAGTTATATTATGTTGATGATATAAAATGTTTCAGTATATAAAACCATACTCTAGTTTCCAAAGAAACTATTTTATAAGGGGCATATTCTTTTTTTAATATAAAGAGATGGGTCTCTTTAAATACATATTGTGGAGTAAAATGCAACATTATTAAAGGAAACAAATTTCCCTACTTCACATGTCAGAGAGAGCAAGAACATGCATGAATAAACATCTAGACAAAACTTAGTGTAGCTAAGACATCATTATACACAGCAAGAGTTTCCTTTGGTATAACTACAGTTTTTAATTGGATTCTCCAAGTCCAGAGGTTCTTTGACTTTAGAATTAGGAAAGGCAAACCAAAGGTGAACTGAGATTGGTGAGCACACACTCTTGAATGAGAATGATTTATATTTTCAAAGCAGTCTACTTATATACAATCATCTATACCACAAATTATACATGTTTTAATGTATGATTCTGTCTTGTTAGCAATTGCTAAAAAGGTCTCAAGTCTAAGTTCCAGTCCTGCCTTATTCTAAAGAATTTAGAGAAAAAATCTTCAAACACTTGTAGAGATAACTATTTCATTAGGAAAATTATAGCTTTGTCTTCAGGTACATCTGAATCCTTGTTTAAAAGAGGTAGGATATACTTTTACATATTTTGTATAATAACAGCAATAACACTTATTTTTCTGGCCTCTAAATCTTATATACCAGCACTAAGTACGATCAAATATTAACACTCTTAAGTTCTTATCAGAAAGTATTATTTCAGAATAATAATTATTTTCCTATGAATTTGAAAAATCTTATTTGACTATGGATGGTGGAAGCACTCACTTTGGCCCAGAGGCCACAAATTGATGTATCATGGCCCAAATTGGCTCAAATATAAGAATTTTATTTGACCTCTAGTTTCCAAAATTTATTTTTGAATTGAATAACACTTCAAAATAAGGAGAATTTACATAGAATCAGGATATTTGGCTTTTCATAAGAAACTGGTAACCTATACTGCTATAACAAGTTTAAGGAGCCCTTAGTACGCCTTCTTTACCTGCTTATTACCTTTGTAGTTATTTGAGTTTGCAATCTCTACCTAGAAAAATGTGGTTTGAATTCTAGATCCTTTTATTAATTGTGTCAATTTGAAAAAAAACTCATGTAACTTCACTAAGCCTCAGTTTTCTCCTATATAAAATAAGAACCATAACTGCTTTATCTTATAATTTAGGGTAAAGTAAGTTGCAGATATTTCAAGTAGTACGGATATTCCCTACCATTAATTTGGTGTTACTGGGGAAACTGGAGCTATCTTAATCTCACCTCAGATTCCTCAGGTGATGAATTTCTGAGGTGATCCAAAATCTGCCCTGTTTCTTTAAACTCCAAATCCGGATTGGTCAGCATACAATTAATTCATATTAATTAAGCCCACAATTCTGTTGTTAAACAATTACATCTATGTCATTTTATAGCATACATTTTAATTGTTGGGGTATTAGATATTTGAGTCTTCTGACCAACACATTTCCCTTTGGATAAATTACGCAGATTGTCAAATTCAACCAATTTGCTGTTGATTTATGATTAGAAATATAATAGGCAAGGTTAATATATAGAGGACTTAAGTCCTTGGGCTGCATATTTTGTTCTACAGGAGCTTCAAAGGGAAAACATAGATTCGTCAGAAGGTACTTTAGTGAATATGGCGTCAAAAGCAGAGAATTATATATAATATTTGAATAATTGATAAAATTAGGTTAAGCTATATTGTTACAAGTGGGCAGAGAAAGTCTTTGGCCCATAGCAACCATTTTGTTGGATTGTCCTTGGATGGGCAGTCATTATATTTGATACTGGAACACTGCTTATTTTATTTCTCATGCTTAAGCTACCTTCCTTCTAATGATATTGATATTTTATTGGATGTGTAAATTTATGCAATCAGGATTCATTAAAAGCTTTCTCTTCTAAGAGGATCTTTGTCTTTCTAAGACAGATAGTCCATCCCTGTCCAGGTTGATTATGTCTTGATGTTCCTGTTTAATTCTCAAAGGATAATCTTATTGTAAATTCTTTGTAAAATTCTAGTTGCAATTCAGATTGGTTCTTATTCTCTTAGTCCCTTGGAAGAACTTGCACCCAAAGTTATATTGTCTTTTAACACATTTGTCTCTGAGTATTCTTTGTATGTCTGTTTTGTGTATATATGTCTATGTGGGCTTTAGAAAGTATGTTTAATGTTTAATGTAATCTTTCATTATACATCTCTGCATTAAAAATAATAATAATGTACTCTTTTTGACTTACATTTTCTTTTTTAGTTTTTATTTGTTTATTTGTTTATTTTTTTAGATGGAGTCTCGTTCTTGTTGCCCAGGCTAGAGTGCAATGGTGAGACCTCGGCTCACTGCAACTTCTGCCTCCCGGGTTCAAGTGATTCTCCTGCCTCCACTTTCCAAGTAGCTGGGATTACAGGTGCCCACCACCATGCCCGGCTAATTTTTTGTATTTTTAGTAGATATTGGGTTTCACCATGTTGGCCAGGCTGGTCTCAAACTCCTGACCTCAGATGATCCATCCACCTTGGCCTCCCAAAGTGCTGGGATTACAGGTATGAGCCACCGCTCCCTGACCTGGTTTCCGTTTTTCTAACCTACCATATAAGATGATTAGAAAATCTGTCTGGCTTCAAAATTTATTCAATCTTAACAGAAATTTATCTGTTCAAAATGGCTGATTTGAAGTGGCCAGCACTTGCCTTCTCCACAAAAAAAAAGGAAGAAAACAACAAATAACAACACATTGAATATAGTATCTAAGAGAGAATGCTGAAATTCAGCAAGAAAGTAAAGAAGACTTTTTGAGGCATTAAAACTTGGGATGACGAGAGAGAGGGAAGTAAATTACCTGGCCAGAATCAGCTCAGAACCAAGAGAGACTCTTCATTGCAAGAAAAAAGTAAATGGAAGATACCTAGCAGTTCATATTTCCACCATGGACCTTAAAATCCTAGTTACAGGAGAGCCCTACAGCACTCACAGCCCTTGAGTCCAGTATAGGAAACTGCTTAAGTACACTCAACTGCATTATTCCTGATACGAAATTCATAGTGGGTCCCCACACTGTGACTGCTGTTACACAATGCCATTTTGAGAATGAAGTCACCACAAAAGTGCATTCTGCCCTGCATCTCCACATCCCTGGGGCTCTACCATCATCCTACCACATCCACCTAGAGGCCTGTAGTGTTGTGACACCAGCTGGACCCAGTGGAGCAGCTGTGTCCCTGGAATCTGAGCCCACACCATGGGAAGCAGAAGATCCTTCACAGCAAGGAAACTCTCCTTATTACAGAAGGAGCTTATGCACATACACCCTAGGGGCCCAAGTAATGGCCTACCCAGGTACCTCCATTAACTGCAACCCTATTGCCTACAGCAATAGAGCCACCGGTTGCATGCTTTCATTCTCTCTTGGGGCCCAAGGACTGGTCTGCCAGACATCCCAGCCTTAAGAGAAGCCACATCGCAGCCTCCACAATAACCCTAACTTAGGGCACTAAGGCACTTGCAGACACCGCTGATGTGGCTTACAGCCAATGAAATCACATAGAAACTACCCTACTTCTTCTACCCAGAACTGAAGCCGAAGCACCATACCCAAATTACAGTATAGGACAAATCTACAGAAGAAAGTTCTGTAAACTTTCTTCAGTTTGAAAGCTACTTCATAAAATTGAAAGAAAAACAGTTCCACAAGATGTGCAGATATGAATGCAGGGGGATAGAAGAAACATGCAAAAGCAAAGAACATGACACTTCTAAAGGAGCACAAAATATTTCAATCGTAGGTCTCCAAACAGAAGGGAATATGTGAAATGCCTGAAAAGGAATTCAAAATAATGATCTTAAGAAAACTAACCAAGATGTAACAGAACACAAACAGACAATTCAAAATAAAGAAAACAATTCATGATCTGAATGAGAAACGTAACAAAGAAACAGATATAAAAAAGAATCAAACAGAAATCTTGGACCTGAAGAATTCAAAGACTGGAATAAAAAAAAAAAATACAACTGGGAGCTTCAACAGTATACCAGATCATGAAGAAGAAATAATTTCTGAGCTTGAAGACAAGTCTTTCAGTAATACAGTCAGACAAAAATAATGAGCACAGAAGAATAGCAAAAAGCCTATTGACATGTGGAAAATGATTAAGCAAACAAATATTCACATTGTGGGAATACCAAAGGAGAAAGGATGGGAAAAAACATAGAAAACCTGTTTAATAAAATAATAACTAAAAACTCTCCATGTCTGGGGAGAGATATTGAAATTCAGATGCACGAAGCTCAAAAATTCCCAAATAGATTCAACCCAAAAAGTTATCTTTGATGCACATTGTAGTCAAACTGCCAAATATCAAAGACAGGGAATCCAAACAACAGTAAAAGGCAAGCATCAAGTCACAAATAAGAAAAATTCCATCAGACTAACAGCAGATTTCTCAGCACACCCCTTATAGCCCAGAAAAGAATGGGATGATATAGTCAAACTGCTGAAACAAAAAGTAACGTGCCAGACAAGAATATTATACCAAGCCAAGCAATCCTTCAGAAATGAAGGATAAATAGTCCTTGCCAGACAGGCAAAAACTGAGGACATTCATTGCTACTAGACCACACCTACAAGAAATGCTTAGGGGAAGATCTACAATATCTACCATCATAAAAATACACAAAAGTATAAAACTCATTGGTAGAGTAGATAGACAAATGAGAAATCAAAAGGATTCAAACATTACTACTACAGAAAACTACCAAATCACAAAAAATAAACAATAGTAGAGGAGGAAATGATATATGAAACAATCAAAAAACAACTACAAAATGACAGAAGTAAGTCTTCACCTATCACTAACAACATTGAATTTAAATGGTTTAAATTTTCCAATAAAAATATAGAACAGATGAATGATTTAAAAAATAAAATTACCCAACTGTATGCTGCCTAAAAATATCCCTTCACCTGTAAAGACACAGAGACTGAAAGTGAAGGTGTAGAAAAAATATATTTCATGAAACCAAAAGCAAATAAGACTACTTATACTTACAGAAGATAAAATAGATTTTAAGTAAGATCTCATACAAAGACACAAAGGAGGTTATTACAATGATAAAGGGATCAATTTGGCAAGAGGATATCACAGTTCTAAATGTATTAACATATTTACCCAACATCAAACCACTCAGATATTTAAAACAAATATTATTAGAGCTAAAAGGAGAGAGAAACTCAAGTATAATAATAGTTGTGACTTCAATACTTTACTCTCCAGCATTGGACAGGTCATCTAGATAGAAAATCAACAAAGAAATATCAAACTTATACTGCACTATAGACAAAATTGACTCAATAGATATTTATAGAACCCTTCATTGAACAACTGCAGAATAAACATTCTTCTCATCAGCACATGGAACATCCTTCAGGATAGACAATATGTTAGAACACAAAGCTAGTCTAAAAAAATTTCAAAATTAAAATCAAATCAAGTATCTTATCAGACTACAATGGGATAAAACTAGAAATTGATAATGAGAGGAATTTTAAAAACTGTTCAAATACATAGGAATTTAACAAGATGCTACTAAATGACCAATTGGTCAACAAAGAAATTGAAAAAAAGATTAAAAATTTGAAACGCATAAAAATAGAAAAATAAGTTATTATACCTTATAGGATAAATAAAAAGCAGTATTAAGAAAAGAGTTTATAGCAATAAAACCTACATCAATAAAGTAAAAGGATTTCAAATAAATAACCCAGTGATATAAATATCTCAAGGAAATTATAAAGCAAGAATAAAACAAATTCAGAATAGTGGAATACATAGTAAAGATCAGAGTAAAACTATACAAAATAGATGCTAAAAAATACAAAAAGCAACAAAATTAAAAGGTATTTTTTTGAAAATATAAGCAAAATCAACAAGGCATTATATAGCCTAGCTAAGAAAAAAAATAGACTACCTGAATAAATAAAATTAGAAACAAAAAAGGGGATTCAACTGACACCAGTCAAAATACATAGGATCATTAGAGACTATTATGAAAAAGTATATGCCAATAAATTGGAAAACTAGAGGAAATGAATAAATGATTGGATACATATAACCTACCAAGATTAAATCATCAATACATAAAAAATATGAACAGACCAATAATGAGTAAAATGATAGAGTCAGTGATAAAATGTTTCCCAATAAAGTAAAGCCCAAGACTGGGTGGCTTCATCACTCAATTCTACCAAACTTTTAAAAAATAACTAACACCATTTTTTTCTAAAAGTATTTTAAAAAAGTAGAGAGGCGGGAATTCTTCCTACATTTTTCTATAAGGCTGGGATTATGGGAATTCCTGACAAGGACACAACTAAAAGAAAAACTACAAGCCAATATCCTTGATAAATATAGATGCAAAAATTCTCAACAAAACACTGACAAATAGACTCCCACAGCACAACAGAAATATACAACATGATCAATTGGGATTCATCCCAGAGATGCAAGAATGGTTCATCATATGCAAATTAACAAATGTTATATATTACATCAACAGAATGAAAAACCAAAACCATAGGATTACCTTAATGGTTACAGAAAAAAAGTCTGGATAAATTTCAACACCTCTACATGATAAAAACTCTCAAGAAATTAGGTTTAGAAGGAGTTTACCTCAATGCACTATATATGACAAACCCACTGCTAACTCCATATTATACTAAATGGGGATAAGCCGAAAGCTATTTATCTGAGAACTGGAACAAGACGAGGTGCCCACTTTTGCCATTCTTTTATCTTAGCCAAACCAATTAGGCAAGGGAAAGAAATAAAGGATTCCCAAATTGGAGAAGGAGAAGTCAAGTTGTCCTTCTTTGCAGATGACATCATCATATATATAGAAAAACCCAAAGACTCCACCAAATATACTATTAGAACTGATAAATAAACTCAGTAAAGTTACCACATACAAAATCAACATGCAATAATCAATAGTGTTTCTATATGCCAACAATAAGCTAGCAGAAAAAAAATCAATAATGCAATCCTATTTATAATAGGTATCAAAAATAAAATACCTAGGAATAAATTTAACCAATAGTGTTAAAGATCTCTACAATAATAACTGCAAAACATAGATTGAAAAATTGAAGATGACTCAAAATATTGGAAAGGTATTTTATATCCATTAATTAGAGTAATTAATATTGCTAAAGTGAATATATTACCCAAAGAGACCTATACATTCAATGCAATCTCTATCAAAATACCAATGAAATTCTTCACAGAAATAGAAACAACAATCCCAGTTCATATGGAACCAAAATAAACTCCAAATAGCCAAAGCAGTCTTGAGCAAAATCAACAAAACTGAACGTATCACACAACCTGTCTTCAAATGTATACTACAAACCTACTATAAACAAACCAGCTTGGTACTATTATAAAAACAGACACATCCTGGGAGGCGGAGGTTGCAGTGAGCAGAGATCATGCCACTGCACTCCAGCCTGGGCGACAGAGTGAGATTCTGCCAAAAAAAAAAAAAAAAAAAAAAAAAAAAAAAAAACAATGGAAGAGAATAGAGAATCCAGAAATAAATTTTCATATCTATAGCCAATAGATTTTTCTACAAAAGCACGAAGAACATGTACTGAGGAAAGGATACCCTCTTCAATAAATGATTCTGGGGAAACTAGATATCCATATTCAGAAGAATCAAACTAGGCTCAATCCACTCACCAGATACAAAAATCAACTCAAAATGGATTAAAGACTAAAATGTAACACCTAAAACTATAAAACTACGAGAAGAAAGCATAGGGGAAATGATTCAAGGCCTTGTTTGGGACAAATATTTTATGGGTAGGACTTCAAAACCACAGGCAATAAAATAGAAAACAGACAAGTGAAATTATATCAAACTAAAACGTTTCTCTACATCAAAGAAAACAACCAACAGAGTGAAGAGATGACCTGTAGAATGGGATAAAATATCTGCAAACTATTCATCTAGCAAATCATTAATATCCAGAATATATAAGGAAAGGAACTCAAACAACTCAGTGACAACACACACACACACACACACACACACACACACACACACACACACACACACAATCTGATTAAAATGGGCAAATAATCTGAACAGACATTTCTCAAAAGACAATATACGAATGTTCAAAAACCATAAGAAAAATTGCTTAACATCACTAATCATCAAGGAAATTAAAATCAAAACTACAATGAGATATTATCTCCTTCCAGTTAGAATGGTTATTACCAAAAAGAGAAAAAAATACAAATGCTGGAGAAAAGGGAACTTTTATACACTGTTGGTAGAAATATAAATCAGTACAGCCATTAGGGAAAACAGTATGGGGCTAGTTCAAAATACCAAAAATAGAACTACCAAATGATCCAGCATTACCCCAATGGGCATTTATCTAAAGGAAAGGAAATTAGTTTGGCAAAGATATCTCTGCAACCACATGTTTATAACAGCACTATTCACAACAACCAAGCTATAAAATCAACCTAAGTTTTCATCAAAAGATAAGTGGGTAAAGAAAATGTGGTATATATACACAATGGAATACTATTTAGCCATAGAAAATAACAAAATTCTGTCATTTTAGGCAGTGTGGATGAACCTGGAGGACATTATGGTGAATAAGTAAGGCACAGAAAGATAAACACCACCTGTTCTTATTCAAATATGAGAGCTACAAATGTTGAGCTCACAAAAGTACAGAGTAGAATTGTGGATATTAGAGTCTGGGGAAGATGGTGAGGGGAGGATAGGGAGAGATTGATCATGGATACAAAATTACAGTTAGATAGGGGAAATACATTTTAATGTTCTGTAACTGTGTAGGGTGATTATAGTTAAAAATAATTTATTGTGTATTTTTAAATAGCTAGAAGAGAGGATTTTGTATGTTCCCAACATAAAGAAGTGGTAAGTGTTTGAGGTGATAAATATGCTAAGTACCATGATTTGATCATTGCACATTGTATACATGTATTGAAATCTCACTCACTACCCCGTATATATGTACAATTATGAATTTATTATAAATTTAAAAATGTGTCTTGGATCCTTTATTTTTAACCATCCCCAAATTTTGTGATTCTCTTAACATTAAAGAAGTAATTGTATTGAATGATAAGCAATAATTATAGCACCTTTACCCCAAAGCTTCAAATAACTGTGCAAAAACATTGCATGTATTTTTTTAAAGTTATTAAGTTGATAGCCTGAATTTCTTCAGATTTTACTGTAAGTTCTAAAAAGAAAAAAATATTTACTCCAAAAATGTTGCTCTCAATATTGCTTCAATGAATAATACAGTTGATTGTTTAAAAGGTTGGTACAAAATTTATTAACTGAATAAATAAATTTAACACTAAAATATACTTTATTTGGGGGTTTGTAGATTTTAGGGCATCACTTGTTAATTGCTAACTTTATATTTTAAAGTTATACAGAAACATTTCTATGTTTATTTCCCGCAGTATAATTATTAATGTTTTAAATGTTTGAATTTATATTTAAATATATTTTAGTTATAATATTTTAATATTGTGTGATAGTTATAAAATAGCATAAAATGTATAACAAGTGCTAGAGTCATTATACAGATGCCATGATTATTAAAATAAAACTAATATAAAATAATAGCAGATTATAAAAATTCAATTTGATCCTAATTTATTGAAAGCAGCTGAGCTCTTAATTATTCACTTCGCCTCATAAAATTCAAGGTCTGTTTGTAATAGGTCAGGTAGGCCATGAATTCTAAAGAAATTAAATTGGGTCATATAAAAAGCAGAAATTTGCCTGAGGGCTAAGCAAAATCTTAGCAATGTGGAAAAAAAGGAGAGCGGGAACTCAGTTTACACATACGTGAACATTTTTCATTTGTATGTTTCTGTGTTCACATAAGAAAATCAGGATCTAAATAAGAGAGTAATAGAGCTCACAATGAACTCAGTAAGAATTAATTGGTAAATGGTGCTTAATTTAGTTTCCAGGACATGTGTTCTTTTAAAATAGGCACTGATGTAAGAAACTTCCTTTCTGGAAGGTGTCACCTTTTTTGTCCAAATTTTGTAGTAATAAAAGGAAAAAAGGAGCTAAAATTGAAATGAAGCATTTACTGTTCTCGTGTGGCTTGTTGTGGCATTTTTAATCCCTATGTTATCTTTTCTGTCTGTTGGAATGCCACCAAGAGAAACAGCAGCTGAATAGCTGAATTCAGATATTTACTTAGCAGAAAGAGAGTTAAATGTAAGGGGCAGTGAATGGGGGTTGTGGATTTGGTGAACAGAAATGCATTAAGAAAGGTGCAGAGATAGCATGTGAAAGGAGAAATTGATGGCAATATTAAATGAACTACTGATCCAATAATTAGTTTTCCTAGAAGACAGGTTCCCTAAAACAAGTAGTTACAGAACAGTTCACTTAAAAAAAAATTGCCAATACTAAATATTGGAATACTAAATAATACTAAATATTATCAGAAGTTAGCCTCATGACACCAAACAACAGCTCAATTTAGGCAATTGGCAGTAAATTGACTGTAAATTGGCAGTCTTCTCTGTATTCTATAATAAGAACCCAAAATACAGAAGTACCCAATGAATAAACAAATAACCATTTCATCCATACTTTTTGATGTTGATCACCAATCCACATTGAACCTAATTCCCTATAGAAGAGCAACAGAAAATGCAATTGTTGAATGCATATATCTGGTTTCCATAGCCTTATTGCCTGAAGATACTTCCTAGATATTTCATAATTCATTTTAACTTTTTAAAATTGGCCTACATTTCAGGTGTTTTGTTTGGGCAGACGTGTCAGTCCAAGCATTAGATTCAAGTATATCTATTCTTTCCTTGATGAAGTTATTTTCATGCACAATGCCTTGCTCTCTTCATTTATCTTTTTATAAATAACAAAAAAATATCATGACAATTCCAAGACAGGGATCTATACTCAGAGTAGCACCATTTTAAATAAATGTAGATTTTAATATATATTCAATTCACAATTATTTCCCCAGCCTTCTTTAATTCATGACATAAGCCAGACAATAAGGCTGAAACAAACTTAAAAATTCTGCAATATATAAGCTATATGTGTTTGTGTGTGTGTGTTTATATATATAAAAATTTAAACTTAAAAAAATATATATATGCCTTGTTGGTGTATAAACTACTTTTTCCCTGAAAAGTGGTAGGAATACATTTAGAGTTGGTTCAATTTTCTTTCTTTTCTTTTCTTTCTTTCTTTCTTTCTTTCTTTCTTTTTTTTTTTTTTTTTGATACGGAGTCTCACTCTGTTGCCCAGGCTGGAGTGCAGTGGCGTGATCTCGGCTCACTGCAACCTCCACCTCCTGGGGTTCAAGCTATTCTGCTGCCTCAGCCTCCCGAGTAGCTGGGACTACAGGCGCCCGCCACCCCGCCCGGCTAATTTTTTCCATTTTTAGTAGAGACAGGGTTTCACCATATTAGCCAGGATGGTCTCGATCTCCTTATCCGACTGCCTCGGCCTCTCAAAGTGCTGGGATTACAGGCGTGAGCCACTGCTCCCGGCCAATTCTTAATTTTTTAAGTAATCACTTTTGTTCTCTCACTACTTTAAAGTACATTATGACAAATCTCAAAATACATTATGTTTTCCATTGATAAACAAAGCATTTCATGTAACCTTTTAAGGGTGGTTTGCACTGGTGACTTCCTTCAGAAAAGTATGGAAAGGGGAGAATATGTGGCTTTATAGTGGAGAAACGTGACACACACTACCTCAGCCAGGTGATCAAAGTTAATACTATGATATGTCATGTTGATAGTACATGCCCTTGGTATGATGTCATGAGATTGGCATTTATTTACTTTTATAATCTCGCCTCTAAAATAAATGCATTACCTCAGTATAATCATAAGGAAAACATCAGTCAAGCACAAATTGAGGAATATTCTAACAAAACCGATGAGATCTTCTCAAAACTGTCAAGGCTTTTACAATCAAGGTTGTCACTGAACCCATTTAAACTGTGCTACTATACATCTTGCTGTATCTATACCAGCAATTCTATAGAAATTAATCACAATTCTGTTTTGCCTTCTGCTCAATAAAGAGGATTCATTTCTTCCTCTTACCTCCACTGAAACCAAGGAGCGGGAATGGCACAAAGCCCAGGAACAGAATCTAATACTCTTGCTTCCTTTCAGTTCTCCTACTTCTAGTCATGTTGTTTTCAGAAATAAAAATATTTCATTATTATTGATAATCTATTCTCATATTTTGTCATTCCTTTCCATTTTGATACCTAAAATAAGCCTTTTGTGCTTAAAAGTCAAAAATTGCAGGGGGGTTTTGTTTGCTTGTCTATTTGCTTGTTTGTTTAATTCAGTTCTTCTAGAATGAATTTTCTAAATAAAATGATTACTGCTAATGTGGTGGCCAGTTTGACGGACGGTTACTAGAAGAAATAAAGCCCATCCTAGGCAGAGGAAAATAAATAATATTTCATTATGTCAATAACTTTCTCTAGAATATTTAAGGCTTTCTCATTACCTTCAAGTAAAGTCCATTTAATGTGATTTTCAAGTTGTTTTTTAAATTTATCCCAAGTATTACAATAAATATACAATAAAACCTCATTTCTAAAATTGTCATTTTTATTAATAATATTTACATAACATGATGACTGTGCCATTGTCACAGCCTGAAATCTGATATTTGATTTTTTCTAGCTCTCTAAATTTATATGTAGATTTAAATGTTCACCTTAGACTTTTCTAACCACACCAGCTTACAGTGTACTCCAAATCTTTTTTAGGAATAAAATTGAATCTCTTTCTTTCATTTGACAATTTACTATGACTTGCCTAGTTACATCTCTTGTGGTATTATGGAATATTTGTAAAGCAAGTATGAAACTTTGTTCTTATGGTATTTGAGTCTGTAATGTATTTAAAAAGGATGTCAGACTCTGACAATTTGAATGACTTGCTTATGATCACAAAAGTGACAGGCAGCAAGATCAAGACTAGATCCACATATTATTCTGACTTGGAACTCCTATTCTCGGTTTCACCCTTTCACTTTCTTGCTTTCCTTCTCCCCGGGAAATTTGGAAAGATTTCTGTTTTTCTTGCATCTGTAGCTGCCTCTCTCAACACTGCATACAGAAATAAGCCAAATAAGTAATCTATAATAATATAAATCAAGTGCTTATGTAATTAAATTTTCATAGAGACTAATATGAACAAGATGAACAGATTTGTCTCTGACCCATTTGTTCTCAATCCTAGTTCAGAAGTGAGCGCAATACACTCTTTATGCTTACCTGTTTTCTCTCAGATCCAGGGAAGTTTTTGCCTGCAAATGGAAATTCCAAGTGTTTGTCATAAAATGTATTATTTTGACCCTCCTAACTATATCTTACCAATGGAAAAGTGATAGAAGATTTTAAAATAGACACATGGCAGTTATCTTTAATGAAAAGAGCATGTCAGAGCTTAAGGATACTGACTCTTAGCTATGTACTCTATAAAGTGGGTGAAATTTGTCCTGTTTAGTGATGTCAGTCCAGGTCAAGGAGCAGTGTTATAATTTTCAGCATTCTCAATAGCAACTATTCCAGTGCCATGAATACAGTATGAGCCGAATTAATTACTGACTTAATAAAATGTTGTATGGCCCACATGTCAGAGATATTCAGTCTTTCTCAACAAATGACACAGTAGGTAATAGAATTGAGTAAATTTATCATTGGTATATTAAGTACAATGAGATTGCAATTTCTTTATTCACACTACAGCAAAGATATCAGTATGACTCATGTGACAAACAGTGCAGTTTCTTGCCCAATATCGTTTTTGCCCTCTGCCCTTATTAATATAATCCTAATTTGGTTTCGAATAGAAATGTGTTCAGTTTCCTTGGCTCCTTTGCCTCTATGATGGTTGCCATGGGGCAATAAGATGTCATTAGATATTGATTTGTGGGAGTGTCATAACAGTCACTATGTTTTTAAAAAGTAATAATAATAATAAAGGGACAAAGCATCCTGGCATAGGCCTGATGACCTCTACTTTTCTTTCTTTATTTTAGACTCTGACCAATGTGTGGTAGCAGCTTGTGAGTAGGAAGACGGAAGAATCTCCATCTCTTTTGGCATCATGGAACTGTCCTGCATGGCTTACTTCCAGACTTTGTTATGTGAGAGAGCAATTTATTTAAGCTGGATAATTGGGTTTCTTTCATCCTAAGCCAAACATAATTCCAACTATGGCTTTCTTTTCAAGTCAAATCCAGTATTTGGGAAGAGAAATAAGGTACAAAGTAACCTTATTATCCATGAAGACTTGTGCTTAGGGATGTAGGTGGTCATAATATGTATGATAAAGTTCCCTACGGCTATTGTCCACTAGAAAGCACCAATTTCTCACAAAGTCAAGATCAAAGCCAGTATTATACTACAATAAGTTTTCCCTGATCTGCTGTTTACCAAGCTCTTTTAAATCTGAAATCAGAAGAGAGAATTTCCCTGAAGTAATTAACAAACCATCATTTGGTGTTATTTTTGAAACAATGAGTTATTTCAAAATTTGAAAAGATCAATGATCAGTTGGGTCATTCACCAAGAAAAAACAAAATTAAATTAATTTTGAATTAAAATACCTAGTCAAAACTATTAAAAATTTTTTAAATTGTATCAAATTATTAAAATAACTCTAGTATGTAGTAAAATTATGTTTAATTGCTATATAAGGTCCACATATAATTTATTATCTAATACCTCTGAACTTTTAATTCAATTTTGAAAATATTTTACATTTTATTTATGTAGTAAATAATTTTATTTAAAGTTCAGCCACATGCCTAAAACTTTCATTAATTTAGTCATTAAATAATCACTGATGGTTTATTATGATAGAAATTATGCTAGCAAGATTTGGCCTGCACTAGCTCTTGAAAGTTTTTCCCCTCTCTTCTCAAGTCTGCAATAAGTAGCATCACAATTCATCTTGAAATCTGCCATACTAGGAATATTTACACCAAATAAATTGGCAAATGCTGAAAATAAATTTCTGTGTGTGGAGTGGGGTTGTGTGAGGGGATAAATGACAGTTGTTAAGCATTTACCAGCACACTATTGCAAAGAATATAAAGGTAAATAAGATGCCACTTCCTGCTTATTTCTTCAATGAATATTGATTTAGCCTAATTTTATGCCATATACTTGTTAGATTTCATGAAAATTGCAGATATGTTGCATGATCATTTTATTCACTGATGAAAATTTTTATTGAATGTCCATTACTAGTGGTTAAGTGCTGCTGCTATTTAGAGTTTACATTTTAGTGGACTAGGTCTTCTCCTGAAGATTTTTACAATATAGCAGGAGGTATTCTACCTGCTTACAAACCACTGAAATGCAAGAAAGTGTCTGAGAAGTCTAGGTGAAGGTGAAGTCGATGGGTTATGTAATTCTGAGCAAGAGAGAACACTTGTGAGTAAGCCGGTAAACCGTACAATGCTTCACGGAAGCTTGACATTTGGAAAATAAATCTTTAGCTAAAAGTTGGTGTGGGTGGTGGGCAGATTACCTCTTTGTCATTTTGAACTTACGACTCTTTTTTCATATTTTTGTTAAAATGACTTTCATGTGTCTTTCCACCATTAGGCTTTGAGAACGCTTCACAAAACACAAGATGAATACTAATCTGTTTTGTTTCCTGGCATAGAAACTGTCACAGTCCAAATTCCCAATAAATGCCTTCTGGACTGAATTCAGGTGGGAGAAATAAAAGGAAAATGCAAGCCGTGTTTAGGAAATGGTGAGCACTATAATTTGGCTGGATGAAAGACTGTGAGAAGTAAAGTGTATTAAAAGAGATAAATAAGAAAAAGAAGTGAAGTCAGATTCTAAGACTTTATTACATAGAGAAGACCTGATCTTTTTTGTTCGTGGGCATTTAAAAAGTATCTAGTAGTAAGAGAGAACAATCAAATCATGTTCTAGAAGGGTAATCTGACAGGTGTTTTGAAGGTGAATTGCCATGCAGAGGCAAAAATGAATATTTAGAAAATAATGAAATAATAGATAACAAATAAAAATGGATATCATGGGGCAAAAATAAAAATTATAGAATACAGTAGATTTCAAGGTAGATAAAATAGGAAAATTGGGTATCATTACGTACAAAATAGTGACTGAGAAGAAAGCAACATATTTTGAGCCAGTATATTTTGGAATATGAGGAATATATTTTGGAATATGAGGAATCCACTTGAAGAACTAAGGAATGAAGAAAAGAACATACTTTTGGTTTTGTACATTTATTTTCTTTAAAAACGTGAGGTTTTTGTATATGTTAAGTTTAGCCTTTACATACTTTATAAATATATGAGATATGCATTAACAAAAGTTAGAATTCAACAAATTGTTCAATATGCATATATACAGTTATAGTTGTTTAAAAAGAAGTATGGAATGTATTTAAAGCAAATACTTTACTTTAAGATATATTACTGAAAATATTTAACTTAAACTAGGCCAGGCATGGTGGCTCATGCCTATAATCCTAGCACTTTGGGAGGCAGAAGTGGAAGAATTGCTTGAGGCCATGAGTTCGAGACCGGAGTGGGCAACATAGCACAACACCATCTCTTAAAAAAATAATAAAAATAAAAGTATATATATAACGTAAACTAAACATAGTGCCCAATTTATTCTTATCCTTAATCAAAACTTATATGTTTTCTAAAACCAATTGAGTTTCAAAATATCCATATTCCTTTAGCTAATGGAATATTGGTAAGATTGTCTTACTATACTTTGGAGTTGTTTAGCAGTAGTCTTCCATTAATATGAAAAAATATATGACTAATGAAATTGATACATTATTCAATAAGGGATTAGAACACAATTCATTTACTTCCAAAAGGCCCATTGAAATTATGTGAGTCTCACATAGAGCTTAATGACTTCAGATGTGTAACCTAGAAATGTACCTTGTGCTATAAGTATATATTTAATATGATTGTTCTTATTTAAATGGCAATGGAACACAAAGTCAAGTTATATTTACCATCAGCTCACTTCCTGGACTTTGATGTGAAATAGGTACATTAACCCTTTCTGGATGACATGTTAACCATTTCTTGCCACTTACTTGTTACTTACTAAAACTGGGTTATTCTTATTCCTTGTTAAAATAAGTCCTGCTACTATGTTTTATAAAACCATCTATCAACTCGCTTTTTCCATTCAAAACAGAATCAGAGTAACATTTGTTTTTTTATACCTCATAGGAACATTTTTAATAAAGAATAATACTTTAAAATTCTTTGAGTTTTAAAAAGGACAATTTCTGCTCAACAGTTTCAAAGTATCATTATGATAACAAATACACAAAAACTATAATATGAACAATAGTTTTATAATACAGGAAACACTAGACAAGACCCTGAGAGTTAAGTGAGTAAACTGCTAAGTGGCATGATATAAGATTTACTTTAACTGCTACCAATTCTTTAGGTAAGCTTAATATAGATTCAGATAGGCTATTTGTTGGCTTTTCTTGGGTTAAAAAAAAAAAGACATTATACTAATTCTCAAAAGAGTTTCTTATCTTGTTTAAACCTATGAATTGTTTATTTCAAGAAGGTATCATTAGGATATGGAAGAGCATGTGTTCGTATGTGTATACCATTGCCAGCTATTATTAAAATACACAAGCATATTAAAAATTATGAATGAAAAGAAAGGATGTTCTAACAGTCACAAATATTAACAAAGCAAAAACTGACTATTCAGGAGACACATAAAACATATTGAACAATACACAGAACATAATACAAGTAATAAAATAAAAAATCTTTTGACTCTTTCCTATTATATGCATTTAGTAATAATACACAAATGAAGAAACTTAGAATATCATACAGAGAAGCCATCTGAGATTTCTTTAAATGCAGAATAAATGATGTAGGATCAGTGTGGGAATTAAAAATAGTTTTGTGGAGTTCAGTAGAACATATGTTTGTCTCATTGAATTTTTATTTCTGACTGATCAACTGATTAATAGCCCCATGAATTTTTAGATTCCACACAACTGAACATGTAAATCACATTTTACCTTTTTTTCCCAAAGAATAACAGTGTGTTTTCAAGAAGTTAACACAGATTCTCAGTTGGCCACATTAACAGTTCACACACTTTCCCCATGTGACAGATTGCATCCTTCAGATGTCAGCTGATGAATACAACATGCACCTTATTAAGGGACAATTGGAGGTTAGTAAAATCCAGCTTTTCCATCAGAAGCCAACTTCTTTATGGCAGCTAATCAGAGTTAATTGATAATACAGTTTATAAATGAAGAATATCATGCCCATTGCACATGGGAGAGCCTTTACGTGTATTTAAAAATGGTAGTCAAAATAGGTCCTAATTCTTGGAATTTTAATCTAGCCTGGTAATTCAATAAATTATGCTGTTGTTTTAGGAAAACAAATGATAAATCCAAAATGCAATTCTTAGAATAACTAATAACTCTGGCTCACTGAATATGTACTAAGGTCTTCTTTTTTTAAGGTTTTCAATGATGCTAAATCAATATTAAGAATCTGAAAACCTTTTGTTACCACTCTGGTCCAAGCCATGAATAACTTTGACCAGAATTATTACAATGATTCCCGAGTTGATTCCCACACTTCTATCCTTCATCCCTACAGGATACTCTCAGCACAGCTTCCAGAGTGATTCCTTTAAATAGTTCAGATCATTCCCATATTCAAAACCCTAAGTAAAAGGAAAATTGCTTACAATGGCCAAAATCCCTACACAAAGTGTCTCATACTCCACATACATCTCTCCAACCTCAATATTTGCTATTCCTCCGCTGTCTCACATTTCTCCAACTATAATGATCTTGCCTTCTATCACCTTGTTTAGTGTGCTTCCACATTAGTGTATTCTGAAGATTCTTTTCCTTGTATTTCTACATATCTGAATCTCTTATGCACTTCAAATAACCTTTTCATTGAGGTACCATTCCTAACCTGCTCTACTTTACATTACAACAGTTGGGACCTTCTCCTTCACGTATAGTTTACTTAATTATTATCTTTATTTCATGCTTCCTTGCAGGAATAAAATGTTTTAAAGGACAGAGCTTTTACTTTGCTTTGATCACTGACAAATCCCAAGAGCTAGAAAAGTGGGATGTAGTAGGTAGTTAATAAATATGTATTGAGTTAATGTATGAATACTTCCTTATAGTTGGAGGGTGAGAAGAAGTCATCATCTATTACTATATCAGGAAAAATAACCTGACAATAAAGCTTAGAATGCCAATTAGATAGTGAGTATAAATAATTAAACCATACACTGAAAAACAAGACAGGTACTTACTAAATGTCTTCTTCTCCATATGCTTTAAGTGTCTGTTCCTTTTCTTGGTAGATTATAACGAAAGCTACTGAGCAGTCTTTGTGTAAGTAGAGATTGTGGTTGGTCATAAGTGAGTCAGTCAAGAGCAAAAACTCACAACTATTTTCTTAAATGCTAAATTCAGTGTGATTTATATCAGAATATTTTAAATAAATATAAAAATTAGTGCATGTTAGACAATAAAATAATCTAAACTTCAAGTGTACTAAAAGTGTATATCTCTTAAGGTCATTTGCATATAATATGAATCATATAGGAACATAGTATATTCAATAGTGCAGAAAATGTGTCATCCAGCTTCTTTGAGAGACTCTATAATGTAATGGAAAGCCAGCGTTGGTTTAGAGCTCACGTGCTCTGTAAACACATTCAGTTGAAATGCCTCCGTGCTTCTGCTGTTGAAGAATATATTTTTCTCTAGTAAGCATTAGTCCCTTCAAGAAAGCAACCAACTAACCACTGAAAGTCCCCTCTCTATCAGGAAGAGCAGAGGGCTCTGCTACTGTGTCAAAGTCCGCAGAAATGGATGGAAAAAGCCTTGTAAGCTTAAAGTGCATCATTCCAATAAAAGTAAATGAAATTAGATAAAAGTTGCATTCATTAAACTATTGTTTCATTTTTTAATATGAGGTACATTAATATTGACTGTATTAACAGTTCAATTGTACATTTGGTCCAAGGTCATAATATAGCAACTTAGGTTTCCTTTGGAAAAAAAAATGCAGAAAATATTTCAGCTTTCTTTTTTTTTAATTAAAAAAGACAAGTAAAAATGTGACTACTGCTTTGAAACTTTATCTAACTAAGCACAAACCACATGGAAAGATGCATAAATGTAAAACTAACTTTTTGCTGTTCAGAAAAAGAATTTGGATTTGATAGCAAGTGAGCTAAAATAAAAACATGCATAATTTACACTACAGATGGGTATATTCTCTACATTAAATGATACCTAGCGATTTCAAGGAGAAAGAAACTAAAGTGACAATCAACATTAAGAAGGTGGCAGAAGTAATCAAACACATGCCATGTGTAAGAAAAGGCATAATGAAGTTTCCATAAGAATGTTTTTTTCATGACTCAGACACCAAATAACTGTTTCACAAGCTTCAGCAGAAGTTCCACTGCACTTATCAATAATGCATCCAGCTACAGCTTTAGATATTAAAACAAGCAGAAGTTGCTTGTATCAAAGAATCAAAGCTGAAACACATTATACTATGGAGCTTAAAACCAGACAAGAAAAATGTGAGTGTGAGGGAGATGGATAGTGTGCAGATGCAAAAACACTTTTGTTGAAACTTGAGAATAAATTAGCAATAAGGCACAAGGCCTTTAATTTTACAAATCATAGCTCAACCAAAGATTCCTAGGCCAGAACAAAATGTTTGCCATTTCAACAATATCTATTAGGCAAGGGAAAGATGGAGAGCATTGCAATTTGAAGCATTTGCTTTGCATGCAATAATTTCGTTGGCGACAGCCATTATGTTTGTTGAAGACCTCTGCAGAAACAGAACTATATTACAGAACTTTTTGGTTCTGAATTGAAGCACATTAGTAAAGGAAAAGAGTGCAGTTAGTATTACCAGGTTTGATATTTATACTCACAGATAGAGGATCAATATGGCCCCAGTGATAATTCATAAATAAATGTTATTATGGAAAAAACTCATCATTACAAGTTTAATGTAGAATGATTTTTGTTGTAGTTTAACAATTAAATATTATCATAAGTAGATGATACTTCAACTTAGTTGATTCATACCATTTTGTATTGCTTTTTTGTTTAGTAGTATTTCACCAAAACATTCCAGGTATGTCTCAGTACATTCAGGAAAGTAAAATCTACAAAAGTCCATAGTATATGGCACTATAAGTTTCTAATATGTAAGTGAAAATTATCTCTTTATCAATTACTAGGAAATAAATTAAAATAAACATTCTGTGATTCATGTTTGGTTCTATGAACGCCAGCCAAATGAACTTCAAATCTAGATAGAGCTATTAGGCAACAAAAATGCAGAAGATTTAGCAGATGGTAATTACGTATGTAAAATGCATGCTTTGAAAGTGCCAAAACTTTAAACTTGAGTAAGTTTTAGAAACTCCTTTTTGCGGGTAATCAGGGCACTATTTTCCAATTTTTTTATCTTTAAAATTTGCCTCAATTATAACAACACTTTCTGGGCTCAGGACCCTCACTTAAAGTAAAGATGTTAAAGCAGATAGTGTTTATATCTGGGTAATTTTCAGGCCTCATTGATTCGGACTATATTGTATCTAAATATCAGGGTAGTCATGTGTTTCTATCTAACATCTTCTTTAGGCCCACTTACAAAATCTTAACTCTAGTAACACTTAAAGAAGAAAAAATAACTACCAAGAGAAAACCCCAAAAATAAAAATGTCAATTAATATCTTTGTGTCCATCTAAAAATTATCCTTACAATAAAAAATATTATTTTTCCCTTTAATTGTCAATATAATGTTTCTAGATAGAGTAGTGACTCAGTTTTCCAAAGGGAAAATTATTAAAACTAATACTTAGAAATAAGTTATCTTATATAAAATATAAAATATTTTATTTTATATTATGTTTTGTAGACATGGGGGTCTTGCTATGTTGCCTAGACTAGCCTCAAGCTCCTGATTTCAAGCAATCCTCCCTCCTCAGCTTCCCAAAGTGCTGGGATTACGGGTATGAGCCACTGCTCCTGGCTAAATATAAATTCTTAAGAGAGCTAAACTATTACTTTTTTTGTACTGGAGGCTGAAGCATATTTTAAGCAAGGTTATTTTAAGATTTTAAACAGCAATTGAGTACTTTTATTACTCCATGAATATATAGCTTGTGTAGTCAACTATGTAGATGAAAACATTGTTTTACCTTTGTTGCTGATATGCTGCAATATTGTTCAACAATGTAATGCTTTTACATTTGTATCTGCAATTCATGTGAATGTTTATTTTTTCCAGAATAATTCTCTGCAACAATCAAGACCAATTGCATTAAGACAAAAAGTTTACAAAATGACAAGATCATTACATAATTTACAACTCTGTTGATAGAGTACCTATACAAGTAACACTAAGTATGTATAATGAGCACACTGTACATACTTCAAAATTTGCCATTTAATTGTATTCTATGGTAGCTCATTTGATTAATATGGGCAACATTAGTGTAAACTGGCAAAGCAACTACTACATGTGTAAACAATGCCACTTCATTACCTTACTTCGCTAAATAAAAGCTAAAGCTACCATGGAAGTAGTCTGGAATTGTCTTTTGCAATCTGGTCTTTTTTCACCTTAATATTAGGAGCTATTTTTCACAATAAACTTGATCCTTTTCTTATAATTATTTGTGCATAAATATTACTTCCTCCAAATGACTGAGTGGACTCTTTGTACATAAAAAAATGCATGATTGAATATTTGTGTTTCCCCAAAGTGCATAGTTGAAACTCCACTCTCTAACGTGATGATATTAGGAGCTGGGGTCTTCCTGTGGCAACTAGAATTAGATGAGGTCATGAGGATGAAGTTCCCATGAATGGGATTAGTGTCCTTATAAGAGTCCCCAGAGATCTTGCTTCCTTTCTCCCTCATGTGATGACATGCAGAAGACTGCTTCTATAAAACAGAAAGTAGGCTGTCACCAGGCATCAAATCTGCTGAAACCTTGTACCTGGACTTCCTAGCTTCTAGGACTGTGAGAAATAAATGTTTATTGTTTAAGTCACCTAGTTTATGATATTTTGCTATAGCAGCCTGAATAGACTAAGACAGAGTTTTCCCTGGTATCTAGCAATTCTTTTTGGCAAAATTAAAGTGAGAGAAAACAATAAATTGCTCAGGAAATTTTTAAAAACAGAATAAAATAGAACTCTTGAAGCCAGAAATTCAAAAATTCTTTGAAAATAGCATTTCATTATAATCAATAGAATTATTCAAAAATAAATCTAATCTATTGTAAATTTAACAATATACCATAGTTCATTTTAACAGAACCACAGAAAGAGCATTCCACTAGGTTAAACAAAAAACGATTTCTGTTTACTTTTTAAAATGTTTATACTTTTACGTCAGATGTTATTAGGCAACTTGAAAAATCCTGTATACAAATTCAGTTGCCTCTAATGATTTTACTATCTCATTGTGTGCATACTTTTCAGCATGAAAACAAATAATTTTGTTAAAAGATAGCCTGTGTAGTGAAATACATATTATTATCACAGGTTTAAAATGAAAGCAGTTAGTAAACTGTAAACACAAAAAGAAGCAGCTGTTAAAATAATACTTAGCTTATCCATTTAAAGATAACTTTTCTCTACATTCATGGAAAAATTCAAGATCGATTAATAAAGTGCAATAATTAAAGAATTATTTCTAAAGATTTTCATGACAGACTGGATTTCCTAAAATGGAGTTAAATGATCAATGAGAGATGAGAAAACGTAAGAGTGGATATGTACAATGCAATGCTGTAGTAACCCAATTACTTTCCGTAGTCCTGATAACATGCAATTTCCACACCTGGGAATATAGTAGGATGTTATTTACACAGTTTGATTCTGAATATATAGTAAACTTTTTTGTTTTCATTTCTGGGCCTATTATTTTCTCTTCCTCTATTTCTAAGTTAAAAGTGACATTTCTTTCACTCTGCTGTTTGGCTTGACAAACAACGTCTTTCCTCCTCCTGGGATAGATTTGATTGAAGGGGATGCATCAGGTAGGAAAGTAAAAGTTTTGTTTCCCGATTGCTCTGGCAGTGCCTGCTGCTGACTTCTCATACTGGAGATGACAGCAGCTTCACAAGGTCTTTGCAATTTTATATGCCTGAAAAAAAGGGACATAAAATTTAAACCACGTATAGGAGAAAAACGCAAATTTTGAAGTATGTACAGTGTGCTCATTATACATACTTAGTGTTACTTGTATAGGTACTCTATCAACAGAGTTGTAAATTATGTAATGATCTTGTCATTTTGTAAACTTTTTGTCTTAATGCAATTGGTCTTGATTGTTGCAGAGAATTATTCTGGAAAAAATAAACATTCACATGAATTGCAAATACAAATGTAAAAGCATTACATTGTTGAACAATATTGCAGCATATCAGCAACAAAGGTAAAACAATGTTTTCATCTACATAGTTGACTACATAAGCTATATATTCATGGAGTAATAAAAGTACTCAATGTTTAATAATAAAAATGCTGCTATAGTTTAAATGTTTGTGTTTCCCCCAAATTCTTATTTTGAAACCTACTCACCAACATGATGCATTAAGAACTGCACCCTTTGGGAGGTAATTCACGGGGCTCTGCCCTCATAAATAGGATTACTGCCCTTAAAAGGGAGGCTCCAGAGACCTGCTTTGCCTCTCCCACTATGTGAGAACACAGCTAAAAGTTGCCATCTGTGAACCAGAAGACATACCCTCACTAAAAACTGAATCTACTGATGCCTTGATTACAGTGAACTACAATTAACAACTGTATGCTAATACATTAGATAACCTAGATAAAACGGACAAATTCCTAGAAAAACACAAATTGGCAAAACTGACTCAAGAAAAAGCAGAATATTTGCATAGATGTATATTAACTAAAGAGATTGAATAATAAATAACTTTTCACAAAGAAAATACCAAGACCAATGAACAGAGCAAGATGGTGGAATAGAAGCCAACACTGGTTGTACTCCCTGCCCCACAGGAACACCAAATTTTAACAACCGTTTGCATAAAGAAAAGCCCCATCACAAGAACCAAAAATCAGGTGAGTGATCATACTACCTGGTACCTGGTTTTAACTTCATACTGTTGAAAGAGGCATAGAAGAGTGCAGGAGAGACAGTCTTCAATTGCCAATGCCTTCCCTCTCCCATCCACCAACAGTGGCTGGCCATGCCGGGCAGAGAATCTGCACCTGGGTGAGGTAGAACACAGCAGCTGGGCGACATTATATTAGACTCAGTGCTATCCTGTCATGGTGGAGTATAGAGCCACGCTGGGCTCAGCCAGCACCCATGCACAGAGGGAGCATTTGGACCAGCCCTAGCTAGAGAGGAATCTCACCTATCCGGTCTGTTAAAACTCAAGTTTCTCAGCAAGGCTCACCATCATGGGCCAAAGTGCTCTGGGTCTCTAGGTAAACTTGAAAGGCAATGTAGGACACAAAGACTGTAATTCCTAGGCAACTCCTAGTGCTAGGCTAGGCTCAGAAACAGAGGAGTAGAGTGGCATGTGACCTACAGAGATATCAGCCAGGGCAGCTAAAGGATTGCTTACCCCACCCCACCCCAACCTCAGGCAATGGGTCTGCCAGCAACAGAAGTGTCTTCTTCCTTACGCTTAAAAGGAGGGGAAAAAAAGAAGAAAGACTTTATCTTAGATACAAGCTCACCCATAGTAGGATAGGACACTGAGCAGAGTCCTTAGGTCTGCAAACAGAAAAACCTAAAGACTCCACCAAAAAACTACCAGAAGTGATCAACCAATTCAGTGAAGTGGCAGGCTTCAAGACCAACATACAAAAATCAGTAGCATTTCTATATGCCAACAATGAACAATCTGAAAAATAAATTAAAAAACTAATCCCATTTAAAATAGCCACAAATAAAAATAAATTTCTAAGAATTAACCAAGAAAGTAAAAGATCTCTACAATTAAAACTATAAAACACTGATGAAAGGAATCAAAGAGGACACAAAAAATTAGAAAGATATTCCATGTTCACGAATTGGAGGAATCAACATTTGTTAAAATGTCCATACTACCTAAAAGCAATCTACACATTCAATGTAATCTCTATGAAAATGCCAATAACATTCTTCACAGAAATACAAAAAATTATCCTAAAAAATTATATGGAACTACAAAAGACCCAAAAAAGTTAAAGCTGTCCTGGGCAAAAAGAACAAAATTGGAGTAATCAATCATATTTCTGGACTTCAAATTATATTACAAAGGTATAGTAAACACAACAGCATGGTATTGGCATAAAAAGACACATAGATCAATGGAACAAAATACAGAACCCCAAAACAAATCCATATACCAAGAATGAACTCATTTTTTGACAAATGTGTCAAGAACATATATTGAAGAAATGACAGTCTTGTCAATAAATGGTGCTGGGAAAACTGTATAACCATAGGCAGTAGAATAAAACTAGACCCGTATCTCTTGACATATACAAAAATCAAATCAAAATGGTTTAAATACTTAAATCTTAGACCTCAAACTATGAAACTACAAGAAAACTTTGGGGAAACTCTCCAGGACATTGGTCTGGGAAAAAATTTTTTGAGCAATACCCTGTAAGCTCTGGCAACCAAAGCAAAAATGGACAAATGGGATCACATCAAATCAAAAAGCCTCTGCACATCAAGGGAAACGACCCACAAAGTGAAGAAGCAACTCACAGAATGGGAGAATTGAAAACTATTCATCTGACATTGGATTAATAACCAGAATATATAAACAGCTCAAACAACTTTATTGGAAAAAAATTAATAATCCAATAAAAAAATCGGCAAATAATTTGAATAGACATTTCCCAAAGGAAGATACGCAAATGGCAAATGGGCATATAAAAAGTGCTCAGGCCAGGTGCGGTGGCTCACATCTGTAATCCCAGCACTTTGGAAGACCTAGGCGGGTGGATCACTTGAGGTCAGGAGTTCGAGACCAGCCTACCCAACATGGTAAAACCCCATCCCCACTAAAAATATAAAAATTAGCTGGGCGTGGTGGTGGACACTTGTAATCCCAGCTACTCAGGAGTCTGAAGCAGGAGAATTGCTTGAACCCAGGAGACAGAGGTTGCAGTGAGCTGACACAGTGCCATTGCACTCCAGCCTAGGCGACAGAGTGAGACTGTCTAAAAAAAAAAAAAAAAAAAAAAAAGCTCAAGATCATTGATCATCAAAAAATGCAAATCAAGATGACAGTGAGATATCATCTTGCTCCAGTTAAAATGGCTCTTATTAAAAAGACAGGCAATAACAAGTGCTGGAGAGGATGTGAAGAAAAGAAAACCTCATATACTGTTAGTGGGAAAATAAGTTAATACAACTGCTGTGATGAACAGTTTGGAGGTTCCTCAAAAATATAAAAATAGAGCTTCCATACGATCCAGCAGTCCCACTTGGTATATACCCGAAAGAACGAAAATCAATATATACTGGTGCATATTAAAGAGATGTGTTGGGAGAGGTGGGGATGGCTTTGGGTACAAAAATATAGATAAAACAATGAATAATGTTTAGTATTTGATAGAACAACAATGCTTAGTATTTGATAGCACAGCAAATACTAAATGCTTAGTATTTGATAGCACTATAGTCAAAATAATTTAATTGTACATTTAAAATGACTAAAATATTACAGTTGGACTATTTGTAACATAAAGGATAAAGAAAAGTTTGACTCAACTGCCTCTGCCACTGCAATCAATACACAATGAATATGCACGGCCTAGTTCAGGGGTACCAGTAGGAAGAGTAGAGTTATAGGGAGCAAGGACATCCTAGGTATGCCTAGCCTAAAGATGATCTGCAGCTGATCTTCAGCCAACGAATATGTGTGGGTACTAAATAAATGTTTGTTGTAAACCAACGATACTATGTAATTTATTTTACGTGGTAGCAAATCAGTTCACCTCTATTCTGTCTTTTCTCTCAGCTCTCCTTCAAGTTTAAAATTAACTGAATTATTTGATCTCAAAAAACTTTCACAATTCTAAAAAATACCAATTATAATACTATATCATTGAAACAATCTTGAAAAGAGAAAGAATGAAATACAATTCATAGATTCAATTAGATATAAATAACTTCTTGACACATCACAAATTTTAGTATAGAATGTAAAATAAATTTATGGAAATCAAAACATTTTAAAAAATTATCACTGATTTGATTTCATTACTCAACCTGAAATGTGTTTTATTCTTCTAAATATTCTTGCTAAAACTCTTTTGTCTTTCCAAATTCAAACATCTTTTCTGCCATGGATATAAACTTTTTTTAAAAAAAGTAATATCAAATTAGACTTTAAATTGTCTTAAAGATTACAGACACAGTCTTTCTTTATGTGGATTTAGTTTGAAATTCTTTTCTTTTTTCTTTTTTTTCATTTTATGAGATGAAGTTTCATTCTTGTTACCCAGGCTGGAGTGCAATGGTGTGACCTCTGCTCACTGCAACCTCTGCCTCCCTGGTTCAAGCGATTCTCTTGCCTCAGCTTCCAGAGTAGGTGCGATTACAGGTGCCCGCTACCACACCAGGCTCATTGTTTTTTTAATTTTTATTTTTAGTAGAGACGTGTTTTCACTATGTTGGCCAGGCTGGTCTCGAACTTCTGACCTCAGGTGATCCACCTGCCTCCGCCTCTCAAAGTGCTGGGATTACAGGCGTGAGCCACTGTGCCTGGCAGTAGAATGTTTCAACTCGTTGTCTAAAACTAACTGCATATCTAAGTCTAGTTGATTAAATGCAATTTCTATTTTAAAATTTTATGTAATTAGTTATATTTTAGGTCATTAATTGGTTGATCTAATGAAATTTTATTTCATATAATTTTGCTTAATCAATTTTCTTATTTTTTCACATTGAATAAATCATTTAAATCTCTGAATTAACATTTTTATAAAATACAAAATACTATGAGTTATAAAGAGTTCCTTTTAGAAGAGTCTGCTTCTAACCCTCTAAGATTTGTAGCTAATGCTGATTTCAGGTCTTTTTCTTTTAAGCTATACATTTTTTGTCTCATTAGAGGAATTATAGAAATATTGCTGTTTTGCGTGGAGTTAGAAATTGTTTTTGGCACATCTTAGTATCTAAGCAATATCCATGCACAAATGCACACGCCCAGATTAAACGTCTTAAACCTTAAAACAAACAAAATATAAAATATGGTTCTCTAATGGGAATCTCTGACAGTTTTCAGTGTGTTTGAGGCTCTGAAGTGAATTTCAGTTTATGTAATCTCATATTAAAGCAAAAGGGAATAAGGTAGAAAAACACTTTATTCAAGACTTAGATTTCTGAGGTTAATTTAATGTCTCATATTCAGTAACCTCAGGCCCCATAGAAACAAAATATTGTTTATCATTGAGAAAAATTGTCATGCACCTGTCAGAGACACTGCTGATTTAACGAACAATGGTTTGGGAAGTGGAGGAAGGTGGTCTACTCCCAATCTAAGTTCCCTAGATCCTTGATAGCCACCAGTTACCCTATCCTTTGCATTCAAGAGCATATTTTATAAACTTAGTTTGATGTTTTACATGAGAGAGATGCCATGCCTTTGGGCATGATTTTTAAAACTGTGTTGTTACTCTGTGCCAAACTGAGCCAGGAGCACGCCACAGATGTTTTATTACCTGTTTTTTCAAATGCCAGCTTGGAAAACAATTAGTCAAGAGATATAAAAGAAGAAATCATTTTACTTACTTACGTTTTCAAAATATTTTCTCTAATTCACGTAGTCAAGTTGATATTTTTTGAAGAAATCCATTGTGTTAAGCAAAATAATGACCCCAAAAGATACCCATGCCATAATCCACAGTGTTTGCGATACGTTACCTTACATAGCACAAGGCACTTTGTAGATATAAATTAAAGATATTGAAATGGTAATATTATTTTAAATATCCAGGTTGGCTCACTATAATCACAAAAGTCCTTTTAAGAGGAAGGCAAGAGATATGATAAAGGAAGCAGAAATCAAAATGATGCAGGGTCAGGAGCCAAGGAAAGAGGGCAGCCTCCAAAAGCTGCAAAAAGCCAGGTAACAGATTCTCCCTAAAAACTCCAGAAAGAATGCAGCCATGCCATATCTTGATTTTAACCAAGTGAAACTGATTTTCTTAAGTACATGGAAAGTTGTATCACCTTCTTATATATGAACACTCAATTACATAACAGCTCACATGAAAGTAGCAGCTTTTATTTAAATTATTGTACTGCTCTTAAAATCTATATGACAGAATCAACAATGTTCCCTTGACTAATCAAAAATAGGGAACGCAAGTCCTCTTCCAGAGTGCCAGGCCACAGTAGATTTAGTAGATCATCAATTCTCCCTCCGATAAATGTTTATAAAAGGAGTTAAACAACCTCTTCTTTTCTGACAGGTCAGTCATCCCTGATCATTGACATGAGAACCATATTGTTTGATCATGTATCCACTTAAGGTTATTGCTGGGTTTCTGATGCATAACTATGAAATAATAAATTTGTGTTGGTTTAAGTCACTAAGTTTGTGTTAATTTATAAACAAGGCAATGAGAAACTAATATTCTTACAATCTCACTAGGTTTTTTTTTTTTTTTTTTTTTTTTTTTTGCCTTCTGTAATACTATAATCATTAAGAGAGAATACATCCAAGGAGGCTAAACAAAAAAATCATAGCCCCTGATGGACCAGGGATAAATTAATTACCATATACCTTCTAGAAGATATACAGACACTAATTTAAATGATCCTTACATTTAGCTTTTCAGCTGTGATGCTTTTATTGCATTCAAACATAGGCAAAACAAAATGATTTTAGCATGTGCTTAGTAATAGAATCCGTGTATTTTTTTATTTGCTCCTAAAATAGAAATCACCTTTCAGCAGTTTTTTTCTTGTAATAAATGACAATGAGGGTGACAGATATGTGTTTATTTTAAAAATCTTTGCAATATGTCTATTTTAATACTCTATCATCTAAAACTCGTTATCAGTTTTTAAGCATTAGTTCCGAGAGCAAGAGAATGAACATGCAAGAGTATATATGCATCTACATGTGCGCAAGTGCACGCACGCGCGCATACACACACACACAGAAGGCTTTCTTAGCAACCAGATGTAAATTAGGCATCAGAAGACGCTCAAGGAGAAACATATTTTTCTCACCAAATCTGAAAATACATTTTCAGAACACCTCAATTGCCTCATTGTTAAAACTGGAAGAGATTGAAAAACAGTATTTATGATAGCAGAAAAGGAGACAATAATGGTGTATGATGTATACAAATTGTTTAGCTAAATGTCCTGTAATATACTTGCCCCCTGCTACCTCCATTATTTTGTTACTCAAAACAAACAAACAAACAAACAAACAAAAACGGAGAATGCGTAGTCCATTGATTAAAACATGTGAATTTAAGTATCTAAGTTTGTCAGTGGAAGCAAGAGATACAGAATTTCAGGATCTGTTTTTCTTCTACTTAGATGTAACACATTCTCTCATTTCTAGATGAATTATAAACAATTCATCTTGTGAACGCTCCACATTTTTCTCCTACCTAATTTTCCTATAGTGATTTCCTTCTTCTTTCCTTTGCTACCGACCTTGGCTTAATTTTCCAAAATTAAAACCCACATATGGGTTTGATCAGTGATTATGGTTGTAAGCAATAAACTACATTGTTTTTGATTAAATTGTATAATTTTTCACCCCTAGTTCAAAAGTAGACTGTAGATGGCCAGAGAAGAACACTTTCTGCTTCAAAACTGAACAGAATGGGAAAATATTTAATTGAACATCAATTAATCTATTCACTTAAATATTTATTCAGTATCAAATGTATGACAGAGACTCGGCTGGAGAAACATCAGTGACAAAACAGACAAAGTTTGTCCACATGGATCTTAAATCCATTGTTCAGAATATTAAAAATGCTGTCCAGTTAGCTCATCTGATAATAATAGTTTTTATTTAAATCATTGTACTGCTCTTAAAACCTGTATGACAGAATCCACAATCCCTCCATGACTAGTCAAAAATAGGGAATGCAAGTCTTCTTCCAAAGTGCCATGCAATAGACTTGGAATATCCTCAAGTCTCCCTCTGATAAGTGTTTCTAAAAGAAGGTAAACAATCTCTTCTGTCCTGTATTACAAATCAGCCTTCCCTAATTATTGATAAGAGAACATGGATTTGATAACTTATCCACTTAAGGTTATATCTGTCTTTTCTAAACTTTCCTTGAAAGGAAGTAGAATGGAATTCTTTGGCCAGGTTCAGCAGGTGTCACAAAATTACACAGATTCACCTTCAGTTCACTTGCAAGAGGCAGTAAAGCTTATTTTTGCAAATTTTTGGTTTACATAGAAAACCAAGAACTACCAGCTGACATTATTGATTACATAATTAATCCAGTACATGTTAACTATCAGCTGGTAATTCTTAATGTAATTTTTCAAAATCTGGGACTACAACAATCACTGTCCTTCAAAACTTTAAGAAAAGAACTTTTTAAATGACAATGTACTTTCTCTTGATTAGATGCTTATAAATTCTTTCATTTATTTTCCCTTTTCTGTCTCTATTCCACTTCTACTGGCATGTTCTTTCCTTTATGGGTGTAAGATATTTTTATAAATTATTAAAATGTAGATAGTCCTTTCCTGCCATATATATGGTTTAATAACTTTTTAGTTTTTTTCTTTAAGTTTTAACTTACTTTATGTAGTTTCAGCCAAGGTAATTTTATTGGCATTGCACTTAATTCATATGTAAATTTAGAAAGAATAGGCAAAGTTATGTGATTGAGTGTTCACATATAAGAAGGTGGTATAACTTTCCATTCACTAAAGCAAATTTTATAACTATTAGGAGATGTTTAGGCCTTTCTTGATACAAATTCTATACTTCTTTCATTCACTTCATTCCTTAGTATTTTATATTTTTGCTTATTATTATGAATGTGACTATTTAAATCAATACATTTTATAAATGCAATTTATAGGCATATATTAAATATTTCAGCTCATGTATTTATTTTATAATTAGTGACTTTATTTATAGAGTCATTTTTGTCTGATATTTAATATTGAGATATTTAATATTATGATTCTAGTTAGAACTCATTTACTTATGCAAAAAAAGGTAAGGAAACTGGTCCATGATAGATTCTATCCTCAGTCTTAGGATTCAATAACATTTCAGGATACATCCAGATATTGCTTACTTTTCATGAACATTGCAAAATACTGAGCCCTTTTGTTCCACATGTCTATAGAAATTATAAACTATAGAGTTGGCTGCCTAATGCAATGGCTACTAGCCACATTACTAATTAAAAGTAAGTTAATTTAAATTAAATAAAATTAAAAATTCAGTTTCTCATTTGCATCACATTGGACAGGTTTAAGTGTTTACCAGTTATGTGTGGCTGGTGGAAACAGTATTGAACAGCACAGAAGAATATTTCTATTATTGGAGAAATGTTCGATTGGACAATCTAGGCAGAGTACTTAAGGGCTATGGAATCAGTCTGCCTGTCTTTGGATTTGGATTTCATCATTGTAATTGCCATTTATATGTGTTAAGTAGCCTGGATTAAGGGATGTCCAGATAACTAGTAAAAGATTATTTCTGGCTTTCCAGAAGAGGTTAACACTTGTTAGACAGTTTGTTTGTTTATTTATTTTAACTTTTAAGTTCAGGCATACAAGTGCAGAGATTAACATCTGAATCAGTATGCTGAGTGAAGAAAATTTGTTCTCATCAATGTGAACAGGCATCATCTAATTCATTGAGGGGCCAGATAGAACAAAAAGGCAGAAGAAGGTCAAATTCATCTTTTTCTTGAGCTGAGGCATCCATCTTTTCCTGTCTTCAGACATTGCATCTCTTTGTTTTCAGCCTTTAGGATCTGAGACTTCCATCCTCCACTCCAATCCCCAGAGTTCTCAGGTTATTGGCCTAAGACTAGGAGTTTTACCATCAGCTCCCCTGCTTTTCAGGTGTTTGGATTCAGACTGAATTGCCCCACCAGCTCTCCTGAGTCCCCAGCTTACAGACAGCACATGATGGAACTTCCCAGGCTCCATAATCATATGAGACAGTTGCCATGACATTCTCTTATATATCCACAAACTACGACATTAGTTATTCTATCATTATTGTTAGTACTGCTACTACTATTATTATTTCTGTAGCGTAAATATATGTTTTTTAAGCCTTCCTAAGTGTGGTAATTTGTTAAGCAGTTCTAGGAAACTAATACAGACACCATTCCCCAAACTCAGAAGGTGGAACCTTCTAGAAAAATGCAGAACATAACACAATATGTAGCTAAATCCAAGACCAGGCCAATTAAAATTTTCTTAAAAATGTATTGCAGTTCAGTTGCTCCAAATGTATACCTGCTTTACTTGAATTGATTGCCTTTACACGTAGCTTTCTTCTTTATCTCTTACATGTTGTGTTTGTCCTCCTGTAAGCACCAAGATATTTGGGTAGGTGCTGTACTTATCTAAGGAGAACGAATAGAGACTATACTAACTGAGAGTTGTAAAGACTATCATCAAATACTACTTAGTCAAAGTGCAGTGCCTTCTTTTTGTATATGTTGCTAAGTCCCCAGGCTCTGTGTCCAGTCTAGTCCTATCCCTACATATGTCTCCAGGTACAAATATAATTGTAGTCAATTATTTTCAGGCAACTGCCATATTGACTCAGTACTATAAAAAGTCACCCTGTAGTAGGTCCACACATTCAAAAGTTTTAGCATTTTAGGAAGACTGGGGAGACCTCTGGAAGCAACATTTTCTCTGCTTGGATTTTTTTTTATGGGTTTTGAAACTACTTGCAAGTGAGCAAGCCTTTTCTACCTAGCTTTTTAATTGGCATGGTCTTGGATTTAGCTACATATTGTGTTATGTTCTGCATTTTTCTAGAAGATTCCACCTTCTGAGTTTGGAGAATCGTGTCTGTATTAGTTTCCTAGAACTGCTTAACAAATTATCATACTTAGGGAGGTTTAAAAAACATATATTTATTCCACAGAGACTAGTAAGTCCAAAATTGAGACAGTGGAAGGGCTTGCTCTCTATGAAGGCCGTAGGAAGAATCTGCTCAGTTCCCTTCTTTCAGCTCCTAGTGTCGCCAGCATTACTTGGCCTTCGCTGGTTTGTAGATGCATCACTGCAATCTCTGCCTCTGTCACTGCATGACATTCTCTAGTGTATCTCTGTTTCTTATTGTTTTATAAATATATCAGTCATAAAAAAGATTTAAGTCGCACATTTTTCAGTAGGAGTTAATCTTAGTTACATCAGCAATGACTGATTCAATTTTCAAGTAAAGTCATATTCTGAGATTCTGGGAAAAACAGGAATTTGGAGGTAACACAACTCAACCCATACTCTCTCCAACTACTCTCTACTAGAAGGTGTGGTCTTCCACATGTGGAAAGTGTTTTCCCAGTTATGAATTAATTTGACCACTTAAATCCTCAGGCCAATAGACTTGCTAATGATCATTGTTCATCTGAGGTAGCAATATAATTTTTTAAATGTTTTTTATTACAATAGGTTTTTGGGGAACAAATAGTGAATGTTTTGTTACATGAATAAATTCTTTATTGGTGATTTCTGAGATTTTGGTGCACCCATTACTCAAGCAGTGTACATACAGCGTACCCAATGTGTAGTCTTTTATCCCTCATCACTCCCAACCCTTTCCATTGAGTCCCCAAAGTCTAATGTGTCATTCTTTTTTTTTTTTTTTTTTTGAGACGGAGTCTCGCTCTGTTGCCCAGGCTGGAGTGCAGTGGCATGATAATGTGTCATTCTTATGTCTTTGTATCGTCATAGCTTAGCTCCCACATATGAGTGAGAATATACGATGTTTGGTTCTCCATTCCTGACTTACTTCACTTAGAATAAATCTCCAATTCCATCCAGATTGCTGAAAATGCGATTACTTTATTCCTTTTTATTGCTGAATACGATTTTTATTGCTGAATACTATTCAATGGTATATACATATATTATATATTTCATATATATTTCATGTATATATTTCATGTATATATTTCATATATATATTTCATGTATATATTTCATGTATATATTTCATGTATATATTTCATGTATATATTTCATGTATATTTCATGTATATATTTCATGTATATTTCATGTATATATTTCATATATATATATATATAATTTTGTTTATCCACTAGTTGATTGATGGGCTGGTTCCATGTTTTTGCAATTGCAAATTGTACTGCTATAATCATGCCTGTATAAGTATCTTTTTGTATAATGATTTCCTTTTGAGGTAGCAGCATAATTCTGAATGGAATGCATTTTCTCTCTTTCTTGGACCCTAAGTAAGTACCTCAAATTGCTGTCCTTCAAGTTTATATTGGATTCCTACAGCTTCATGAAATTTCTTCACTGTACTATTGAGAATCTAGTTCAGAAAGTCTCCTCTTTGATGTTTAACATGACATCCCTTCCATCTCTACTTTGGTGGCTCTGAAATGCTATTAATTCATGACAGTGAATAGGGTTATAGATTTATTTTTATTTTTATTTTTATCAATTCCATAGGTTACTGGAGAACAGGTGGTGTTTGGTTACATGAGTAAGTTCTTTAGTGGTGATTTGTGAGATTTTGGTGCACCCATCACACAAGCAGTACACACTGCACCATATTTGTTGTCTTTTATTCTTCACCCCCTTCCCACCCTTTCCCCAAGTCCCCAAAGTCCATTTTGTTATTCTTATGCCTTTACATCCTCATAGCTTAGCTCATAGTTATGAGTGAGAACATACAATGTTTGGTTTTCCATTCCTGAGTTACCTCACTTAGAATAACAGTCTCCAGTCTCATCCAGGTCACCACTGTGAATGCCATTAACTCATTCCTTTTTATAGCTGAGTAGTAGTCCCTCATATACATATATATATATAAAATCACAGTTTCTTTATCCATGTTGATTGATGGGGATTTGTGTTGGTTCCACTTTTTTGCAATTGTAAATTGTGCTGCTATAAACATGCATGTGCAAGTATCTTTTTCGTATAATGACTTCTTTTCCACTGGATAGCTACCCAGTCCTGGGATCACTAGATCAAATGGTAGTTCTAGTTTTAGTTCTTTAAGGAATCTCCACACTGTTTTCGATACTGGTTGTACTAGTTTACATTCCCACCAGCAGAGTAGAAGCATTCCCTCTTCACCACATCCCTGCCAACATCTACTATTTTTGGATTTGTGGATTATGGCCCTTCTTTTTGGATTTGTGGATTATGGCCCTTCTTTTTTTTTTTTTTTTTTTTTTTGATATGGAGTCTTGCTCTGTCACCCAGGCTGGAGTGCAGTGGCGAAATGTTGGCTCATTGCAAGCCCCGCCTCCCAGGTTCACGCCATTCTCCTGCCTCAGCCTCCCAAGTAGCTGGGACTACAGGCACCCGCCACCATGTCCAGCTAATTTTTTGTATTTTTAGTAGAGACGGGGTTTCACCATATTAGGCAGGATGGTCTCAATCTTCTGACCTTGCGATCCACCTGTGATTATGGCCATTGTTGCAGGAGTAAGGTGGTATATCGCACTGTAGTTTTGATTTGCATTTCCCTGGTCATTAGTGATGTTGAGCCGTTTTTTTCTTATGTCTGCTGGCTATTTGTATATCTTCATTTGAGAATTGTCTATTGATGTCCTTAGCATAGTTTTTGATGGGATTTCTTTTTTCTTGTTGACTTGTTTGAGTTCATCGTAGATTCTGGATATTAGTCCTTTGTCAGATGTATAGATTGTGAAGATTTTTTTCCCACTCCATGAGTTTTCTGTTCACTCTGCTGACTATTCCTTTTGCTGTGCAAAAGCTCTTTAGTTTAAGTCCTAGAAATTTATCTTTGTTTTTATTGCATTTGCTTTTGGGATCTTGCTCATAAAATCCTTGCCTAAGCCAATGTCTAGGAGAGTTTTTCCAATGTTCTAGAATTTTTATAGTTTCAGTTCTTAGATTTAAGTCATTAATCCATCTCGAGTTGATTTTTTTATAAGGTGAGAGATGAGGATTTCATTCATTCTTCTACATGTGGCTTGCCAATTATTCCAGGACCATTTGTTGAAAAGGATGTTCTTTCCACACTTCATGTTTTTGTTTTCTTTGTCAAAGATAAGTTGGCTGTAAATATTTGGTTTTATTTCTGGATTCTTTGTTCTGTTCCACTGGTCTATGTGCCCATTTTTGTATGAGTACCATGATGTTTTGGTGACTATAGCCTTATAGTATAGTTTCAAATTAGGTAATGTGATGCCTCCAGATTTGTTCCTTTTGCTTAGTCTTGCTTTGGCTATGTGGGCTCTTTTTTGGTTCCATGTGAATTTTAGAATTGTTTTTCCTAATTCTGTGAGGAATAATGGTGGTATTTTGATGGGAATTGCATTGAATTTGTAGATTGCTTTTGCCAGTATGGTCATTTTCACAATGTTGAGTCTACCCATCCATGAACATGGGATGTGTTTCTAATTGTTTGTGTCATCTATGATTTCTTTCAGCAGTGTTTTGTAGTTTTTCTTGTAGAGGTCTTTCACCTCCTTGGTTAGGTATAGTCCTACATATTTTATTTTATTTTTCTTTGCAGCTATTGTAAAAGGGGTTGTGTTCTTGATTTGATTCTCAGCTTGGTTGCTGTTGATATATAGAAGAGCTACTGATTTGTGTACATTAATTTTGTATCTGGAAACTTTGCTAAATTAATTTGCCTGTTCTAGGAGCTTTTTGGAGGAGTATTTGGGGTTTTCTAGGTAAATGATAATAACATCAGCAAACAGTGACAATTCAAATTCCTCTTTACCAATTTGAATGCTCTTTATTTGTTTCTCTTGTCTGATTGCTCTGGCTAGGACTTCCTGTACTATGTTGAAGAGGAGTGGTGAGAGTGGACATCCTTGTCTTGTTCCAGTTCTCCCTATTCAGTATTATGTTGGCTGTGAGTTTGTCATAGATTTTAAATATATTCTTGTATAATTAATGTCTTGTAATATGGAAGGACATTTGATAATTTACATTTAACTAAGTAAAGTTGGGTTATTATATTGGGTAAAGTCATACTTTTATTAATGAAGGATGTATGAATGCAACAAAAAAGAGTTAAGTCTCCTGTCTAGCAAAATAGAATAGAAGATTAAATTTCGGGGATTGTTTGGTGTATATTTCTTAGAGAATACTCTCAGATACTTGATCCACCAGGCACTTATTTTAACTGACAGAACAACCGAAGTAGAATCTTTCTCTATTGATTTTACAAGTACTAATAACAATTTAAGCATCTAAAAAGAAGTTCGACATTAATGTAAAGCCTGAAGATTAACTGCAGTGAATACTTACTCAGAGAACCTCAGTAAATGGGAAATATGTCACAACAAATTCATGAGGATGAAGAGAAAAACAATCAAGAGAATTAGAATATAATTTTGAAAAATGAAAGATGAACTAACTAAATTAGAAGAGAGAAAGCTATCAGCAAGGAAAAAAAGATGTAAGGCACAGCCACCAAAATACATAAGAGTAATCAAAAAATTCATAAACAAATTAAGTTCAAATATAAAAATAAAAATATAAACTTTATTTCTCAACATAAGCTTCATCAACTTCAAGACAGTTTTGTAAGCAATGATACCAGCCATTTAGTTCACTTCTAAATAAATGATGGCCCTGGGAGTTTAACCATATCAATATAGTCTTACTTAACTGAAGAAAAAATGGATGTCCTATATAGATTTCTTTAAGATTAGAAAATAGAGAAGTTGGAAGCAGCCAAGTCAGGACTATAGGTTGATGTCTAATGATTTTCCATCAAAACTCTTCCAAAATTGCCCTTTTTCTGATGAGAGAAATGATCAGGAGCATTGCCCTGGTGGAGAGCATTCTGATAAAGCTTTCCTGGACATTTTTCTGCTACAGCCTTGGCCAACTTTCTCAAAATATTATCATAATAAGCAGATGTTATCATTCTTTGGCCTTCCAGAAAGTCAACAGGCAAAATGCCTTGAGCATCCCAGGAAACTGTTGCCATGATTTTTGTTCTTGACTGTTCCACTTTTGCTTTGAGTGGACCATTTTCACCTCTTGGTAACCATTGTTTTGATTGTGCTTTATCTTCAGGATCATACCTGTAAAGTCATGTTTCATCATGTGTTACAATTCTTTGAAGAAATGCTTCAGGATCTTGATCCCACTGTTAAAAATTTCCATTGAAGGTTCTGCTCTTGTCTGCAGCCAACCTGAGTACAGCAGTTTTGGTACCCATTGAATGGAATGTTTGTTCAAGTTTAATGTCTTAGAATTGTGTAAGCTGAGCCAACAGAGATGACTATGGTATGGGCTGTTATTTCTGCTGAATCATTGGTCCTCTTCGATGAACGTACACACAACATTAATTTTTTCTTGCAAATGTATGTGAATGGTCTACTGCTGTGAGCTCTATCTTCAACACTGTCCAGTCCCTTCTTAAGATAAGTTATCTACTTGTAAACTGATGATTTATTTGGAGACACTGTCCCCATAAGCTTTTTGTAAAGTATTACTGATTTCAACATTCTTACACCCCAGCTTCACCATTATTTTGATGTTCATTCTTACTTCAAATTTAGCATAATTCATGTCACTCTGATAAGAGCTTTTTCAAACAGATGTCATATGCTTCTTAATGCCTCAAAATATGTCCTTTATATGTTATAACAATTTAGCATAGATTGATTTTGGTACAACTTTAAACAATCCACGTGTAGTTTTTTCATAACACATTTTTCATGAATTTTTTGAAAATCCGTCATATGACATGGTAACAAAAGGTATCATTGAAGGGGGTTTGAATGCTAGGCTGAAAACAGGAGACTTGGTTACAAATCCATATAAGAAGTCTTTAGCCTTCACCTTTTCTTCTCAGTGATAGCAGAAGATGGGAGAGATTAACAGAGTATCTGGATTGAAAGATACTAGGCCCAGTGTAAGGTAGCATACACTCAAAAGAGGGTGATTAAGTGAATGTTTACATGATGGCTTCTGAGATTTCCAGCACTCCTCTCTCAGTCATGTCTAGAATGTTAGAAAACTGATTTATTACTCAAGTTATAGGTTTGGAGATATCTTTTCTCAAAATCTGACCATTGCAAGGGAAGATATTTACATTAAAAATCCCCAATGAAATGAACCAATCAGATTAGTCAAAAATGAAGTTCACATTTGTTGTGCTGCACCTGACCTCAAATTTCTAAACAGGTTTTTGGTTCTCAATTTTTAAATGTGAGCAAACATCTAAGGAATGCCAGATAGCTGAGAAAATAAAAATAAAAATAAAAACTCTAATCTGGAAGATAAAGACTACCTGAAGAATTGAATGAACAAATAAACCACAACTACTACTATGGTAAAACTTAGAAGGAGAATATATTTTGTAGGAGGAATTAAAAAAACAAAAACGTAAAAATAAAAACAGTTCTCATCTTCAGAGTGCTAAGTGAAGTTATTTCACCCATAAAATAAGAACCGGAGTTTAAAAAATAAATTTTTAGGCTGGGCACAGTGGGTCATGCCAGTAATCCCAGCACTTAGGGAGGCCGAGGCACGTGGATCTCTTGAGACCAAGAGTTTGAGACCGGCCTGGCCAACATGGCGAAACCCTGTCTCTACTAAAAGTAAAATAATGCTGGGTGCGGTGGCTCATGCCTGTAATTCCAGCACTTTGGGAGGCTGAGGGGGGCGGATCATGAGGTCAGGATTTTGAGAACAGCCTGGCCGATATGGTGAAACCCCATCTCTACTAAAAATACAAAAATTAGCCAGGGGTGGTGGTGCATGCCTGTAGTCCCAGCTACTCAGGAGGCTGAGGCAGAAAAATAGCTTGAACCCAGGAGGTGGAGGTTGCAGTGAGCTGAGATCACAACACTGCACTCCAGCCTGGGTGACGGAGCGAGAGTCCATCTCAAAAAAATAAAAAACGACATAAATTCACCAGGCGTGGTAGCACATGGCTGTAGTCTCTGCTACTTAGGAGGCTGAGGAACAAGAATCTCTTGAACCTGGGAGGCAGAGGTGGCAGTGAGCCAAGATCATGCCACTGCATTCCAGCCTGGGTGATAGAGTGAGGGACCCTGTCTCAAAAGAATAATAAAAATAAAATAAATAAATGAATAAATAAAAGAAATGTTTTTTAGAGATCAAGGCTGAGTTCTTAGAAATATATAGCATAGTAGCAAAATTTTAAAAAAAATACTAGAAAGATTAGAAGATAAACCTTATATATTCCTGAAAATAAAGTAAAAATGTGAAAAGATTAAAAACTATTGTATAGATTATTTGGAGACTAAATTTCATCTCGGGTTTTACCAGACTGGAAATATATCAATGAACACTTATCACGTCCAAATCAAAACAGTTCTTGATATCAAACATTAAAACTATGGCTATCTTAATCAAAAGGGGGAAAATGATCATTTTAAAAGAGCAGATAGTTAAACTTTTGTGGCTGATGAAAATCATGCATTTATCCTGTCAATATACTACATACTGGAATGGAAACTTTTCTGAGTGAGGAGAACAAGATCATGTCCATCTCTACCCCTATCGTGATGATTAATACTCAGTTTTCTCGTACTGGATTGTTGATCTTAAGTTATTTTAAAGTTTAAACATCCTATGATTTACTACTAAATGCTCACTAAATGTGTTTGATACGTGTATATGTGTATGCATATTTTATTTTTCTGCTCTTCCTAGCCTCACACGAACATGTACATCATAGTGCTATCATTAAATTAGTTCTGACTTATTCATGTTGGACAGTGTTTTCCAGTGTAACTATTCACCCATGGGTTCTGCCAGTTCTGTCTTGTTTTACATCTGTTGTGCTGCTGCCAGCTTCTCAGAAAGACATCAAAATGACACTGAATGGGCAGGAAAAGTTGATAAATAATACGGAGGGAGAGTCACTTGGAAGTCGTGCAGTGTCACCAGAAATAATACAGTGAAGCGAAAACAATGAGAAATGGGGGCAGGGCATGGACTGCCACAAGAAATGGTCCTCACGGGATTAAAAACAAACAAACAAAAAAAAACAAAAAAAACAAAGAACAGCTTCCAGGAAAAGTATTATTAATCAGGAAAGGAGATGGTAGTGTGGGAGAAAAGAATAAAAGCAATAAAGAGTATACGGAGATTTTAATTTTATTTATATAGTATTCTAGAATCCACCAATGAATTAGCCTCAGAAACTTGCCCTGCTGTTTCAACACATCTACCTGTAAATTGTGACAAGATAGGGTTGATATGTGCTCATTATGTGGACTTTTATTCTGAACATTGTCCCCTCTGTTTCATCATCTGTTTCATTTTTGAAAAGTACACTTGACTACTGAAGAAATAGTCAGAAAAAGTATAGGGCGTAGTGATGAATCTATTTCGTTATATGTGAATCCACTTACTGTGAATTCTCAAAGGTAGAAGTGAAAAAACGTGGTCTACTCATAAGAAAACACCAAAAGTATCAGGTACAAGTGTGTCAGGCAACATACCCAGGAAGAAATAAACCTCATTAGGGCAGCATCTCTAAGGACGTTGCCTGTTGGGTTTTTCCACTCTGTGCTTCCGGAATCAATGTTAGACTTAGGTAAGACCTAAAGCGTAAATATCAGACACCTTTAACAGAGTCTGTAGGGATTCTTCATAGAAACTTTACCAGGACAACAAAATCGCTTCTGAAGAAATCTAAACCCACGCTCTAAAAGGGAACAAATGTGTGGTTTTGTGTGAGATTGTGAAGTTTCTAAATAACTTTTTGCAAAGAGATTATGACCACCTTTAGCCAGTATGGCTAAGGTGGCTGCCCAGGCCTATCCAGGATCCTTTCTAGTGTCTTGCCAAGTTATTGGTGTCATATCTTCTCTGGAAGAGACTCCAAGTCCAGGTATACAATTGTTACTTTATCTTAATGAATCTTCTCAAATTGCTGCCTTTGTCACTGAATTTTGGCGGATATACATCTCAGTCCACAAATTTGGGTCCACATAATATGTAACTTTATTTTTCTTTATTCAACTTGATAAAGGTGTCAATTTTCCATGATTTCATTCAACACTAAGGTATTGATGGACATGAGGTGTAATGTGGATGTGCTAGAGTCTGGTCTTCCACACAATTTGTCCATAAAGGAATCTGCTGGGACACCTCTCATTTATCTTGGCAAAACAGCTTCAAGTCTGATGGTCTTCATATTTAATTCTGTGTCATGCACAGGCACACAAAAATCATTTTTCCCCTTCTAGGTCATGCTCAGCAGAGGAATTCCTCTGAAAGTGCTGTTATCGTATGTCCAACCACATCACAGAACTGTTTCTATTCTCAGGTGTTGCCATCTCTCTGTGGCATAACTAATTTTAGCTGTCAGAATCAGATGCTTAGTTGGGATTTTTGCTGTCTCCCTGTTCTCTGCTTAGAAGAAAGGCATGGGGCCCCTGTTTCCACTGACCCAGTGACTACACTGATCACTTCTGCTTTGTCATATTCTCCTCAAATCCCTTGGAATTTAGTTTTTCCCCTGGTAAAGTTGTGGAATCCTCAAATACTTTATGTTTATGGTTCATAACTTCTATCCCAAATTCTGTCTATACTCAGAATCTTACCATATCCACTAAGGCAAGGTTCTCTTAGATAGCTTCTGGCTCAAGATAACTTAAGTGAGCATAGTAGAATAGATGCTGTGCCTCAGTGCTGGGGAGACAAAGGTCACGGGCGTGGACCACGGCTTCTGGGGAAGCACGGGACTCAGTCAAAACCAAGTGCTGTTAATCAGATTCTTCTGTGGCTGTTTATAAACACGACCTCCATTTCCTGACCCTCTGAATTTTCTATAGCTCCAGTTCGCCCATGTGCCTGCTCCAATGTCTGGGTTTTCTCTGTGTTCTTTCCGAGGGGCTGTGGAAACCCTATAAGGAAGACGAATCCGTTCATATTGGAAACTGGAAATAAAACTTAAAATAATTATTAGTTCATGTAGGCACCTGAATTCACATACTTCCTTAAGCAGTAGAGACCTGCGCTCAGTCATGAGCTTTTTTCAATTCTGGCATAATTTAAAAGAAAAAATCTCTGTATTTTTCTGTTTCAATTTTTGCCTATTCCCAAATCTCTTTCTTGTCATGAAAGCCAGAATTTTCCATTTCAAAGGAATTTTGAATATCTTCAAGGATAGAAAAAAATATTTATTTCTGTTTCTCACCAGAATGTAACTTTGCTACAGTCAGTGACCATAGGGATCTGCCTTGTTTCTTGTTCACAGTTATCCAGCATGATGCCTGAAATGGAGCAGGTATTCCTCAATGAGTATTTTTGAGCGAATGAATGGATGATTGAATACTTTGTTCATGATTGAATATCTTGTTCATGATTGAATATCCAGCTGTGTTTCAAACTTGCCACTGTTACCCACTTATGTAATCAAGACATATTTCTAAAACATCAAGATATAGTTCTAAGGGTAGAGCAAGATGGCTGAACTATACCATTCATCCTACACACAGAAACAGCAAATTTTAACAAATAACTACATACAAAAAAACACCAACACGAGAACCAAAAACCAGGTGAGCAATCGCAGCACCTGGTTTTTACTTCATATCACTGAAAAATGCACTAAAGAGGCTAAGACAGGCAGTCTTGAACCTTGGATGTCACCCCTCCCACATTGTCCTGCAGCAGCAGTACTGTGCCAAGAGAGAATCTGTGCACTTGGGGGATAAAGAGTTCAGTGACTAGAATACTTTACTTTGAAAGTCAATGCTGCCCTGTCAGCAGAGAACAAAGCCATGCTGGAATCAGTCAGTGCCCTCACACAGAGGGAGCATTTGGATTGCACCTAGCCAAAGGGGAAGAGCCCAGCCCAGGGGTAAGAATTTGAGTTTCTCTGCAGGCTTCACTATGGCAGGCCAAATACTCTTGAGTCATAGGTAAAATTGAAAGGCAGCCTAGGACATAAGTACTGCAAATTCTAGGCAAGTCTTAGTCCTGGGCTGGGCTTAGAGCCAGTGGACTTGAGGGTCACATGACCTAGGGAGACACCAGACTGGGCAGCAAAGGGAGTACTTGCACCACTTTTCTCCCAACCCCAGGCAGTGTAATGAAAGTGACTCCTTCCTATTGCTTGAAGAGAGGAGAATGATGAGCAAAGAGGACTTTATCTTACATCTTGGATATCAGCAAAACAACAGTAGGATAAGGCACCAGGTAGAGTTGTGAGGCCCCCATTCCAGGCCCTAGCTCGTGGATGACATTTCAAGATGCTCTCTGGCCCAGAAAATAACCCATTTCTTTGAAGGGAAGGACCCAGTTTTGGCAGGATTAAAGAACTGACTAAAGAACCCATGGGCCTTGAATAAACAACAGTGATACTTAGGTAGTACACTATGATCCTTGGGCTCTGAGATGTGCTGCTATCAGTTGTGACCCAGCACATTCTAAGCTGTGGTGGCTATAGTGAAAGACTCCTTCTATTTGAGGAAAGCAGAGGGAAAAGTAAAGGGGACTTCATCTTATACATTAGGTACTAGCTCGGCCACAGTGGTATAGAGCACCAAGCAGGCTCTTGAGGTGCCCAAGTCCAGGCCTGGCTTCTGGTTAGCATTTCTGGACCAGCCCCGAGCTGGTGGGGAGACCAGTGCTCTGAGGAGTTAGTCCCAGGCCTGATTGGATTCACCACAAATTAATTGAAGAGCCTTGGGCTTTAAGTGAACAATGTCAGTGACCTAGCAGAAAACTTCATGGGCCAGTGGTGATGGTAACCACAGGGAGAGACTCTTCTGCCTATGGAAATGGGAGGAAAAAGCAGGAAGGACTTTATTTGTGGTTTGAGTGCCAGCTTAGCAAATGTAGAATGGAACATCAGGTAAATTTCTAAGGTCTTTGAATCGAATCCTTGGCTTCTGGACAATATCTCTGGACCCACCTGGGGCCTGGGGGAGCTCATTGACCTAAAAGGAGGGACACAAATCTGGCTGCCTTCACCATCTGCTGATCATAGAGTCTTGGGCCTTGAGTGATTATAGATGGTAGCCAAGTAGTGGTTATAGCAGGCCTTGGGCAAGACCCAGTTCTGTGCTGGCTCCAGGTCTGACCCAGTGAAATCCCAGTGGTGGTGGCCACTGGGATTTGTTTTTCTCAACCCTACATTCTAGAAAGCTCAGCACAGAGAGAGTGAGCTTCTATTTGTTGGGGAGAAACTAAGGGAAAAGAACAGAATCTCTACCTAGTAATTCACATAATTCTGGATCTTATCCAAGACCACCAAGATGGTACCTCTATGAGTCTGCAAGAACCACAGCATTATTGGACTTGGAGCCCAAGAGTTTTTTTAATACCTGGAAAGTCTTCCCAAGAAGGATGGGCACAAACAAGCCCAGAATTTGAAAACTAAACTAAATAGCAAACTTGTCCGTGTCCAGACACTGACAAATATCTACAGGCATCAAGACTATCCAAGAAAACATGAAATCATCAAATGAACTAAATAAGACAGCAGCGATGAGTCCTAAAGAAAGAGATATGTGACCTTTCAAACAGAGAATTCATAATAGCTGCATTGAGAAAACTCAAAGAAATTCAAGGCAACACAGAGAAGGAATTAAGAATTCTCTCAGATAAATTTAACAAAGAGATTGAAATAATAAAAAAATCAAGCAGAAATTCTAAAGTGAACTATGCAACTGACATACTAAAGAATGCATCAGCCTCTCTTAATAGCAGAATTTATCAAGCAGAAAGAAAGAATTTTTGAGCTTGAAGATAGGCTATTTGAAAATATACATCCAGAAGAGACAACAGAAAAAAGAATAAAACAATAAAGCATGCCTACAAGATTCAGAACATAGCCCCAAAAGGAAAAATCTGAGCTATTGTCCTTAAAGAGGTGGTAGAGAAAGACACAGGGTTAGAAAGTTTATAGAAAGGGATAATATCTGAGAACTTCCCCAAGCGAAGGAAAGATATTAATATTCAAGTACAAGAAGGTTGCAGAACACCAGACAGATTTGACCCAAAGAGTACTCAAGGCATTTAATAAACAAACTCCAAATGTCAAGGACGAAGAAAGAATACTAAAAGCAGCAAAATAAAAGAAACAAATAACAATATTGTTATAATATTCTGTGTTTTTCTGTGTGCTATTACCAGTGAATTTTGTACCTTCAGCTGACTTTTTGTTGCTCATTAACATACTTTTTCCTTCAGATTGCAGAGTACCCTTGACCATTTGTGTAAGACAGGTCTAGTATTGATGAAATCCCTCAGTTTGTTTGTATAGGAAAGTCTTTATTTCTCCCTCACTCTTGAAGGTTATTTTCACCAGATATACCATTCTAGGATAAAAGTTTTTTGTTTTTTGTTTTTTCCTTCAGCACTTTAAATATGTCATGCCACTCTCTCGGCCTGTAAGATTTCCACTGAAAAGTCTGCTGCCAGATGTATTGGAACTCTATAGGAAAAAAAAATCTAATAATTCAATGAAAAGGTGAGAAAATGATTTGAATAGACATTTATCAAAAGAAAATATCCAAATGAAAACCAGGCATATGAAAAGGTGCTCTAATTCATTGATTATCAGAGGAATGCAAATCAAAATTACAATGAGATATTATTTCTCTCCAGTTAAATTGGCTTGTATCCCAAAGACAGTCAATAAGAAATGCTGGAGAGGATGTGGAGAAAAGGGCACCCTTGTACATTTGGTAGAAGATAAATTAGTACAACTATGGAGAAGAGTCTGGAGGTTCCTCAACAAATTAAAAATAGAGCTGCCATACAACCCAGCACTTCCACTGCTGGATATGTAGGCAAAACAAAGAAAATCAGTATATCGAAGAGATATCTGCACTCCCCTGTTTGTTTAAGCCCTTTTCATAGTAGCCAAGATTTGGAAGCAACCTAAGTGTCCATCAACAGATAAATAAATAAGGAAAATTTGGTACATATACACAAAGGAGTACTATTCAGCCCTGAGAAAATGTGATCCTATTATTGACAACAACATGGATGGAACTTGAGGACATTATGTAAAGTAAAATAAATCAGAATCAGAAAGACAAACTTCACAATTTCTCACTTGTATGTGGGAGCTAAACATGAAAACAATTGCACTCATGGAGATAGAGAGCAGAAGGATGGTTACTAGAGGCTGGGAAGGAGAGTGGGGATCAAGAGGGAAGTAGGGATCAGTAATGGGTACCAGAAACTATTTATGAAGAACGAATAAAAGGTAGTGTTTCATAATACAACAGGGTGACTATAGTCAATAACAATTTAATTGTATGTTTAAAAACAACCAAAAGTGTATAATTGAATTGCTTATAACACAAATAACAAATACTTGAGGAGAATAATACCCTATTTTCCATGACAAAGGAAATTTTATTCTATATTGCTTGACTGTATCAAAGTTTCTCATGTTCATCACAAGTAGATACACCTGCTATGAACCCACACAATTAAAAAACATTAAAGATATATTTCTAAAGAGAAATGTACATCATGGGATAGGTTTATTTAATTGGCATCATTGCATTATAGAAATGACAGTGAGAGTATAAAGGAAATACACGAGTTTACAACGGTTTAGGGCTATGTAAATTTATATTTTATGACGAATGGTGGGCTGTACCCTGCATTTCCAGGAATATGTGAAATCAAGATTAGAACAAACTGATAGTAAACAGGCTTCCACTAAATCACAAGGCTTGGTTGATTGATGGTAAGGAAGGCTATACTTTATAATTACTCTGATTCCCTAAGAGAATTTTAGGAGCTAGCCTGAAATTTAACTCTCCTGGGAAGAATTGCCAGGGCCTTGTAGAAGACACACAGTCACACTGACTCACTGACACATACACACACACACATACACAACTTATTGAAGATGCTATGTAACAAGGTAAAGGAGCCTATTGCATCAGTGCCTGGAAGTAAGCAGCAGAATTGGGACATGTCATAAAATAGAAATAATTAGAATAGCAATAGTTAACTAAATCTGCTAAGTAGTGGTGACCAAGAATTATCAGTAGAAGTTGCCTTAGCTATCCACCATGAAAGAAGGAACAGTGAGCTTCTGTAGAGTGAAGGGCTTAGTACATTCAATCAACTGATTTGGTAGAAAAGGTCTACATGTACCTCTCTTTTCTCTTTGGCTTTATATTTTAATCTGTATCTTAGGGTGGAAAAATAGAGTTAGAATTAAAGATTAACTTATATAATAACTTATATAATAAATTAACTCTTATTCTGAGCTTGACATTTTTAGACACTTCTAGTTTACTGCCCTGTGATCTTCAACAGATAGGGCTAAATTATTACGAGCTTTATTTCCCTGTGTGTGTGTGTGTGTGTGTGTGTGTGTGTGTGTGTGTGTCTGTGTGTGTGTGTTATAAAGTTTCATTGATGTCACTGAGCATGTGAAAACAACCTTTTTATTTTGAAAGAATATGAAAAATATTAAGTGTATGAGGTAGATGAAGTCTTAAAACCTAGAAATTAAATGTACTGGGGTAGTTTGGATACTCCAATTTGAGAGTTAATTAATTGCTAATAGTTTAGCTTCTTATGAGACATAATTTCTTCAGTTTGGGTAGAGAGGATAAAAAACTAAAACAATAATTTGGAATGATAAAATCTAGTAATTGACTGAAATAAATACCGATAATTTCATAGGGGACTGTTGTGATAATTTATGTTCTTGAACATCATTGCTGGAATAACTTCCAGACCATTTTCTGCTTGAGAAAAAAGATGCTTCAAGCTGTAGCAGATGACTGGTCAACACTTAGCCAGGGCCTACTTGTCTACATAGCCATTTAAAATTCTCTCCTCTTAAAATTTATTCGAAGGAGAGAGTAGATAATTTGTTAATTACATGACTTGCTCTTTAGTGTGTTCTGCTAGAACACTTACTGAATAAAAATGGGATATTTATGTGGTATATTTACTTCAGTTTAGTCCAAGAAAGTGTATAAGAATAAATTCTGTTGTTAGCAGGAAATGACAATTACTTTATTCTTCAGAAAACACAAACTCTACATCTTGTAAGTTTGCTTCCAAATCCAATTGTCATTGGTTTTTCTGGATGCTCTCTGAGTTTTTGCTATAGTTTTAAAATGTCTGAGAATTATTTTGGCATTTTCTCCATTAAACTAAAAAGACATATATCAGTACAAATCAGTTTTATATTTAATGACTAAATGTTCAACTACCACAAGACATCCTTATTTGATGCACTGTAGAATTTGGATAATTACATTGAAGTGTACAGCAGTTTAGAAGTTCAAAATTTGGCAGGTGCAGGTTTCATTAGCAGCGGTAACCCTGAAAGGCCAAAGAATAGACCTGTAATTGTTAGTTGTATCTTTAAGCAATAAAGCATGGGGTCATTCTACCCTTAACTCACAATCAACAATTGCTGTGTAAGTTGAGTGTGTATGAAATGATTGCCCCTGCACCTAACTGTGGATGAAAAGAAAAATTAATTGATATATTTTAGAATTGTCTCTACCTAGGAACTTTTGTTTTGTTGTTGTTATTGGTCTACCTTAGATTAGAATTTGTAAATATAGATTGTCTTATACATAAAGAGCTTTTATTCATGGATATTGAGGAGTGGAGAGTGTGTCCATCTACTCATTCATGAAATTGTCAAGATGACTCCTACTCAACTGGATCCCTAGTTAGGTGATGTTCATCTTCATTCTAAACAAAATAAAGCATGGAATTATTTAACTTACTTTTAAATCCTCTATGAGGTAAAATTACTTGATATTCATTTGTTTCTATTCATTGTTAAATTTCACTCCCAAATTTATTGCTGTTGAGAAATAGAAATAATGGTGTGTGTTTTTTTCTTTTATTAATTAATTCCTTTTTTTTCTTTTGATACGTGTGTGGTTTTGATGTCAGAGTTATCCTGGCTTCATAAAATAAATTGAAAAGTGTCCCATCCTCATCTATTTTGTGTATATCTTTGTGAAGGAATACTGTTAATTCCTCTTAAATATTTGGGAATCTTCAGTGGTAATTTTACTGAAGAAAATTTGGAGTGTTTTTGTGTTTTGTTTTGCTTTCACTAATTCAAGCTCATTAGGTGTTATAGGTTTATGCAGGTTTTCCGTTTCTTCTTCAGACAGTTTCCATATTTTTGTCTTTCTAGTGTTTGCTCAATTCAACTAAAGTTATAGAATGTGTTGGCATACAGTTGATAATGAGATTTTCTAATAATTTTATTTCTGTAGGACTAGTTGTGATATCTCTGATTTATTTCCCGATTTAGATATGAGTCTTCTCTCTTCTTTTTTTGTCAGTCTACTTCAAGATTTGTTAATTTTGTTGATAATTACAAAAAAATTCGTTTTGTTTTTTCTATTTTTTAAATTGTCTACATCATTTATTTTCACTCTGATGATTATTGTTTGCTTTCTCTGTCAGCTTGATTTTTACTCCTCTTGTTCTCCCTTCTTAAAGTGATGAGTTAGTTGATTTGAGATTTTCTTTTAAGATGTAGTCCTGCAGAGCAGCAGTCCCCAAATTTCTTGGCACCAGGGACTGGTTTCCTGACAGACAATTTTCCCCTGGATGGGTGATATGTTTGGCTCTGTGTCCCCACCCAAATCTCACATTGAATTGTAATAATTCCCATGTGTCAAGGATAGGACAAGGTGGATATAACTGAATCATGGAAGCAATTTTCCCCATGCTGTTCTAGTAATGGTGAGTGAGTTCTCAGGAGATCCAATGGTTTTATAAGGCGCTTACCCCTTTTTCTCAGTATTAATTCTCTGTCCTGCTGCCCTATGAAGGAGTGTCTTCCACCATTATTATAAGTTCCTGAGGACTCGCCAGTGATACAGAACTGTGAGTCAATTAAACCTCTTTTTCTTATGTATTACCCAGTCTTGGGTTTTTCCTTATAGCAGTGTGAGAATGGACTAATACAGGAAATTTGTACCAGGAGTGGGGTGCTGCTATAAGGGTACTCAAAAATGTGAAAGTGACTTTGGAACTGGGTAACAGGCAGACGTTGGAATAGATTGGAAGGCTAAGAAGACAAGAAAACATGGGAAAGTTTGGAGCATTCTAGTTACGAGCAATCAGAAGACAGAAAGATGGAGGGAAGTTTGGAACATCCTAGAGACTTGTTGAATGGCTTTGACCAAAATGTTGATAGTAATAGGAACAATGAAGTCCAGGGTGAGGTGGCCTCAGATGGAGATGAGGAATTTGTTGGGAACTGGAATAAGGGTAATTTTTCCTATGCTTTAACAAAGAGACTAGTAGCATTTTGCCCCTGCCCTAGAGATCTGAGGAAAGTTGAAGTTGAGAGACATGATATGTGGTATCCAGCAGAAGAAATTTCGAAGTGGCAAAACATTCAAGAGGAAGCAGAGCATAAAAATTTTGAAAAATTTGCAGCCTGACAATGTGATAGAAAAGAAAATTTCATTTTCTGGGGAAAAATTCAAGACGGCTACAGAAATTTGCTTAAGTTACAAGGAGGCTAATGTTAATGACAATAAGAATGGGGGCAATGTCTCTGGGGCATGTCAGAGAGCTTCACGGCTGCCACTCCCATCACAGGTCCAGAGGCCTAGGAGGGAAAAATGGTTTTGTGTGGCAGGCCTAGGATCCCCCTACTCTATGCAGCCTTGGGGCATAGTGCCCTGTGTCTAAGCTGCATCAGCTCCAGCCATGGCTAAAAGACACAAAAGTACAGCTTGGACCAGTGCTTCAGAGGATGCAAGTCCCAAACCTTGGTGGCTTCCACATGGTGTTGAACCTGTATGTTCACAGAAGTCAATGATTGAGGTTTGGGAACCACAACTTTGATCTCAGAGGATGTATAGAAATGCCTGGATGTCCAGGCAGAAGTTTGCCGCAAGGGCAGAGCCCTCATGAAGAAATTCTGCTAGGGCGGTGCAGAAGGGAAATGTGGGATTAGAGCCCCCACACAGTTCCCACTGGGGCACTGCCTAGTGGAGCTGTGAGAAGAAGGCCACCATCCTCCAGACCATAGACTGGTAGATCCACTGACAGCTTGCACTGTGCACCTGGGAAAGCCACAGACCCTCAACACCAGCCTGTGAAAGAAGCTGAGAGGGGGCTGTGCTCTGCAAAGCCACAGGGGCAGAGCTGCACAAGGCCATGGGAGTCTGCCTCTTGCATCAGCATGACCTTGATGTGAGACATGGAATGAAAGGAGATCATTTTGGAACTTTAGAATTTAATGACTGCCCTATTAAAATTTGGACTTGCATGGGCCCTTTTGTTCTGGCCATTTTCTCCAATTTAGAATTGATGTGTTTACTCAATGCCTGTACCCCACATTGTATCTAGGAAGTAACTAACTTGCTTTTAATTTTACAGGTTCATAGGCAGGTGGGACTTGCCTTGTCTCAGATGAGACTTTGCACTTAGACATTTGGGTTAATGCTGGATTGAGTTACGACTCTGGGGGACTGTTGAAGGGGCATGATTTTGTTTTGAAATATGAGGGCATGAGATTTGGGAGGGGCCAGTAGTAGAATGATATAATTATATAGTTTGGCTGTTTTTCTCCACCCAAATCTCACCTTGAATTGGGACCAGATGGAGATAATTGAATCATGGGGGAGGTTCCCCCTTGCTGTTCTTGTGGCAGTGAGTGAGTTCTTACAATATCTGATAGTTTTATAAGGGGTGTCTCCCTTCGCTTGGCACTCATTCTCTCTACTATTGTCCTGTGAAGAGGTGCCTTCTGCCATGATTGTAAGTTTCCTGAGGCCTCCCCATCCATGTGAGTCAATGAAACCTCTTTTCTTTATAAATTACACATTCTCAGGTATTTCTTCATAGCAGCAAGAGAATGGAGATGGGGATGATTTGGGGATGAAACTGCTCTACCTCACATAATCAAACACTAGATTTTCATAAGGAACGTGCAACCATCACATATGCAGTTCCCAGGAGGGTTCATGTTTCTATGTGAATCTAATGTGACTACTGATCTGACAGGAGGTGGGGCTCTGGTGATAAGGCTCACTTGCCTGCTACTCATCTCCTGCTGTGTGACCTGGTTCTTAACAGACCGTAGACCAGTACTGATCCATGGCCAGGGGATTGAGGACCCCTGCTGTAGAGCCACACATTTACTTGTAAACACTGATTTAGATGCACGTCATACATTTTGGTATATTGTATTTTCGTTTTCATTCATCTTAAAATATTTTCTATTTTTGCATTTTATTTCTCCTTTGGACCATTGGTTATTTGGGAGTGTGTTGTCTGCTTTTCACATATTTTTGAATTCCCCGATTTTCTTATGTTATTGTATAAAATTTAATTTCATTTTTATTGGAAAACAGTCTTTCTGTGATGCCAATCCTCTTAACCATATGGAAGCTTTTTGGTGGTGTAACATATAGTCTATTCTGGAGAAAGTTTCAGGGGTATTTAAAAGGAAGCTTATTAATCCTTGTATTAATACAGCCACTCCCACTGTCTTTGGTTACTGATTGGACTTTATCTTCTTTCTTCCTTTTACTTGTGTAGGGGTGGAGGGAAAGCCTCCCTTTTTCATCTGAAGGTTAACTGCTGAAATGAACTGAAAATAAACAGATTGACACAAGAACACAGGAGTCCCACACATATGAGATTCGACGAAGGGCCAGATGGTTAAGACTGAAATACCTTCTTCATAAAGAGGGAATTGGGGGTGCTGTAGACAGTTTTAGAGGAGTGGAAAATGATTTTTAGGAGAAATGGATAGAACCGAGGGGCAGACAATATCTTGCTAATGATTCTGTTAGGAAACTAGATAGAATTGTCAAGTTAAGGGTAAGTGAGGGTCAGAACTGCACTGTGAACAAAGTTTGTTTTATTATGTATACAAAATCTTCCTGATAATTGCTCAGAATTGCTCTTAGAAGAATAGAGGAAAACTCTATCTGAGTTTGATGATGATATTTAGTTTCTTCTCTTTTCCAGTGGTTAATCTTTCCTAGTTATTTGATGAGATCCTTAGGGAGGGGATCTTGGGAATATTGCATTTCTTTGGGAAAGAAATTTCTTTAATGAGATAAGAAAATTTTAGAGAGAGTCATTCCTTGCACTTGGAGGGAGAAGGAACAAAATAATGTTAGAAAATTACTGGTTCCGAGGCAGCTTCAAAGACCTTCCAATTTCATTTAATTCAAGACACTCAGCCTACTTAAGTGTCATATTTTGGGGTATCCTTTTCTGAGCCCAAACTCTTTTTATTCCATTTACTATATTTTGAGTTACGTTATTAGTGATTATTCTAGGAAATACAATTAACATTGTAACTTAAATAATCTCATTCAGAAAAATGCCAATTTATTTCTAATACTATATAAAAATTCTGCTCTAATAGAGCACTGTTTACTTCCTCCTTTCTGTTATCATAGTCATCCTAATAATTCATTCTTATTTATAATCCAATCAACAAACTTTTGTAATTATTGCTTTATATTCTTGTCTTTTATGTCACATAGGAGGAGAAAAGAATTACCATAAAAATATTTTAATGCTGTTGGTTATATTTACCTGTATAGTTGCTTTTATTGTGTAGTTAGTTGTATTTCTTTGTACATGTTAAAGTTCTTGTTTAATGTCCTTTTGTTTTGGCCTGAAAGATTGCCTTTTGTATTTTGTGGAAGGCTGGTGCTAGTAACATATTCTCTCATTTAAAAAAAATATGAACTGTTTTAATTTATCCTTTATATTTGAAGGATAGTGTTCCTTCATATAGAATTCTTGTATAAAGTTTTTCAATTCAGCACTTTAAATATGTCACCCTCTTGCCTTCTAGCCTCAGAGTTTCTGATGGAAAGTTAGCTATCAACCTTTTTGAAGATTCCTTATATATCATGAGTCATTTTGTTCCTTCTACTTTCATGATTCCCTGTTTTACTTTCAAAAAATGTGATTATGTTTTGTCTAGGTGGAATCTCTTTGAGATTAGTCTATTTTGAGTTCATTGTGCTTTCTGTGTATATAGACTAACATTTTTTAAAAACTGAATTTGGAAAGTTTCTGGCCCTAGTTTCTTTATACGTTCTTTCTGTCCCTTTCACTCTCTACTCTACTTCTAGTTTCTCTGTGTGCTATATTAATGTGCTTGTTCCTGTCTCACAGGTCTCTGGAACTCTGTTGATTTTTTTCTCCATATGTTTTCCTCTTTTTTTTCAGATTAGAACATCTCAATCGACCTATCTTCTTCATTTGTTGACTCTTTTTTCTGCACTCACACATATGAGACCCTCTAGTAAATTTTCATTTTGGCTGTGATGCTTTACAAAATCCATAATTTCTATTTAATTTTCTTATAATTTTGATATCTTTATTTGATGAAACATTGTTTTCTACTTTACTTCTTTAGACATGGTTGTTTTTATTTCTTTGAATGTATACATAAGTTTAGTTTGTTGCATGTATACATACACACACACACGTATATCATATATATATTAGCTGATTTGAACTCTTTGTCTAGTATGTCCAGTATCTAGACATCCATAGGGGCAGGTTTGTTTTCATATATACATATATAAATACACACACACGCACACACACACACACATACACAGATACGTACATATAATTTCATATATATACACTTATATATACATATACACACACATATATATATCATATATATATATAATTTCAATAGCTTTGGGAACACAAGTGGTTTTTGGTTATATAGATGAATTGTATAGTGTTGAAGTCTGAGATTTTAGTCAGCCCATCTCCCAAGTAGTGTACACTGTACCCAATATGTAGTTTTTTATTCCTCACCTCCCTCTCAGCCTCCCCACTTCTGAGTCTCCAGTGTCCATTATACTACTCTGTATGCCTTTGCTTACTCATAGCTTAGCTTATAAGTGAGAACATAGGGTGTTTGGTTTTCCATTCCTGAGTTACTTCACTTAGAATGGCCCCCAGCTCCATCGACATTGCTGTACAAGACATTCTTTGGTTCCATCTATGTCTGAGAAATATTCCATGGATTTCCTATAGACCACATTTTCTTTATCCACACATCTTTTGATGGGCATTTAGGTTGGTTCCATATCTTTGCAATTGTGAATTATGCTGTGATAAATATATGCATTCAGATGTCCTTTTTTAATATAACAACTTATTTTCCTTTGGGTGGATACCCAGCAGTGGGCTTATGGATTGAATTGTAGATCTATTTTTGGTTATTTGAGAAATCTCCATACTAGTTTCTATAGAGGCTGTGCTAATTTATATTCCCACCAACAGTGTATAAGTATTCCCTTTTCATCATATTCATGACAACACTTATTTTTTTTTTTTTTTTGGCTTTTTAGTAATAGCTATTCTGGCTGGGGTCAAATGGTATCTCATTGTGGTTTTAATTTGCTTTTCCCCAGTGATTAGTGCTGAGTATTTTTTTCATATGTTTGTCTCTCTTCTTTTGAGAAGTGTTTATTTATGTAATTTACCTAGTTTTTGATGGGGTTGTTTTTTTTCTTACAGATTTGTTTGAGTTTTTGTGTAGATTCTGGATATTATTCACAGGGACAGATTTTAATATATGTAAAGCATGTATAGACCACACTTTCCTGTGTATTTGTGTATCTTATCATATTTTGTTGAATACTAGACACTTAAAATTATATAATGTCATAACTCTGGGATTCAGATCCTTACCCTTTTCCATGGTTTATTGTTGTTGTTTGTTATTGTTGTTGCTGTTGCTGATTATTCATAGACTTTCCAAACTAATTCTGTGGAGTCTGTGTGTGTTTTTTTTTTCTTACGTAGCCACTGAAAGTTTCTGCACTGTCCAGTGAATGATTAAACAGAGACTTATAAAAATGCCTAGAATAAACAACTTCCATTTTTTGCTGAGCGACTATCTCTGTTGAAGTAATTTTGCAATGCTCTGGAAATTTACAATTCAATCTTGGTCTTCACTTCCTGACTTTGCAGAGTCTTAATGTCAGCCAAACATGAGCGATTAAGATGTACTCAGGCCTTTCCTAGTCATGAGCACTGTCCTGAACATATGCATAGCCTTCTAGATTCCTTTAGACCTTTCAGATCTTTTCAAAGCCCTTTATGGACTTCTCCTTTCCTTTTTAAATTCACTGGACAGACTCTTGGTGTCTCCAGCTGATTTTGCCAACTCAGGTAACTATGTGTTAAATAATTGCCACTTATTTTTTAGAGAAACACCAGGGGATAGAGCCTTCACACTGAGTGAGCTCTGAATCAGGTCAGATAAAGACAACCCTTTGAATGGGGCTTTTCCAGGGAGCTTCCAGGCAGGTCAAATAATGACAGTTCTCTGAAGATGGAGCTTTGTGGGGATTTCCAAACCCATTCTTCCCTCTCCATTGGCTGCTATCCTCCTAGTTTTCACTGTGACCATGGATATGAGGCTGCTTATTTTCTATACTCCTAGTGACCTATGAAGACAGGATGAAAATAGAATAAAGTAATCTGCCACAATGCTCAATGTTTTTCCTGAGATTCAGCAATTTTTCTTGAATAACCACTTATTGAGTTGTTAGAAGTCTTTAGTTAATTTCCACGGTTCTGAAAAAGTTGATTTTAACAATACCTCCTATGTTCTCAGTGTTTTTATGGAGAAATAGATTTTCAGAGATCTTAACTCCACACTTTGTGGTGGTGTTAATTGTGATCTCTTGATCAATATAGTGTTTCTTAGACTTCTACATATTTTTGTTTCTTTTTAAATTAATAATTTTGTGAATGAGTTCTTTGGTACTACGAATATATCCTGTTCCTAATCAAAATTTCAATTTCTCCATTAATTTATGAATTTCTATTTTATTCAATGGCTTATCATTTGTTACTATCATTATTTATTTTAATGCTCAGATTGTACCAGAGCCGTTAAATAGAAGCCTTTTCACCGTAACTATACTTATTGTCAATATATTTACTTATTTAAACAAATATTCCTTTATATAACCAATTTTCCATTGCCATTGCTTTTACTTTTCTATGCCAACAATCCCTTTACATTGCTTGAACTTACACATCCCTGCCAGACCACATCCCCCACATAAACCACATGGATATTTTCCTTATCCACTCAGACTCCAAGATCTTGAGCTAAACTACTCTTCCTACAAGCACTCTTTTTACCTGCACTGACTCTAAAACCCCATATCTGATTTCTCTCACTCAGGAGTCCTCTTCTCTCTTGTGTCCTGATACTCCATGCTACACTACATCTTCCCCCTGGGGATGCCCTTTTACCCTACTTGGGTACTTATACTTTATAGTTGGCCAAGCCCCACATAAATCCCTTTCTTACATTGTCTGAGCTCCAACACAGTATACTCAGCTGCCTCAGCGGACAAACCTTCCTTATACCACTTGGGTTCTAATACTCTGAGCCAGATCACCCTTCTTGGCAGATACCTTGGTCAACATGCTTGCTTGTGTTGAATACCTTGCACTTGGCCACCACAGTAGTTGAACATTTCCTGTGCTGAGCCTTACTTTGCACAATCCTGCATAATGACTTTTAGAATGAATTGATTAGCAAGGAAAAGAAGGGAAGGGAAAAAGCAAGAAACCATTTGAAAATTTTACATAATACTTTTAATGAAATATTTATTATTCCAAAGCTGTGCATATGTAATTTTTCTAATAAAAGAAATAATTTATACATTTGCCACTTTGCCTTTAAAAATAGTATACTTCTGTTGGTTTTTTGTTTATTTATAAAATCTTTGGCTAATTGCTATATTTCATCCATAGCAGACATTTCTTAGCTTGAAATAGTTATTAAAGAATGAAAGCTAACAGTTTTCAATTACTTCAGATTTTCTAACTGAATTTATAGAAATATATTCTTGTGTAATTCAAATGACTCAAATTCAGGAATATCTAATAAGACAATAGAAAAACTACTCCCACATACTTGCCAAATACCTTTGGAATTTTACTGGCTTAAAATGTAAAATATATTTCTAAATAGATTTCATATCTTTGTAAGTTATTCACAATTAAACAAAATTCAGAACAATGTAATCATTTGCATTAATGTGTAAATATACTTGTACACAAAGAGATTACAATATATAGAGATAGTTATATTTTATTATATAATGTGTGTATATGTGTGTGTCTTGTATGTATATGTGTGTGTGTATTTACACATATATATGTTCATGCATTATGCCATATGTAGCTGGCCATGTGTGAATGTGTTTTAAGTATTTTTATATACTGGGAATGTACATATGCACATATTTAATATCATACGTGCATTTTTTAGAAGCATTCATTTTTATTAGAGTGAGAATTGAGGCTTGAGAGCTTGTTTCTTTTACATGGGAGACAAAAAAAAAAGTAATTGTTTATTTTTGTTCTCAGAGCTATCACACAAAAATAAAACAGAAAAAGGAAATAAATTTTCCTGAGCAACTTCTCCTAACTTCAATATCCAGAGAGAAATTAAGAAAATAAGAGGAAAGATGAAAGCCTAACAAGATTTAAGAAGAAAGTTTTCCATTATTCATTTAATTCACTTTTAGCTGACCAAGGTAAGGAATGTTGAAGTTTAGATAATGAATGTGTCATGGTGTCAGCATTCTTAAAAAAAAAAAAAAAAAGACTGAGGGTAGGGGAATGGAGGAGGGAGGGATGTGTTGATAATTATCATGTTAACCTAAGAATGTTTTATTCTGAGTGAGGCTAGTTTAAAACTATATTCTCTAGGTTTTGTGAGGGAGATATTAGGATAATGGATTACATATTCCCTCTATGCATATATCGAGATAAATCTTTAAAAATTCTAAAAGATAAGAAAAAGTTAAAAAAATGAGGAATTGCTTTCCAAAAACGATAATTGCAGCAAAATCAATTAGACAATTTTTCTTGATCGCATTTGAAGCTTTGACATCACACATCCCATTTATTTGCTTCTGGCCTAATAATCCTCTGCATGCTGGGAAATATCTTTGTTCTCTGATAGAAGTAATAAAGCTGTCTGCACGATTCTCTCTTGTGAGACAGAATGTTCCTATTTTATTTAATCTATTGGTGTGCAGCCTTTTCAAAGTAAATACTTCACACACACTGAACAGAGAAAGACATGCAAGGGGGCTGGCCCGAGAAGTGTAAAAATTAAAAAGTGCCCTGTGAAGAAATAATGATGGCTCTCTAAAAAATTAAATAAATAAGAATCTCGGGTCAAGCGGGCCTTGACTCTCATTGCTGCTAGAGTATGGAGTGCTTCATATTCTCCCAACCCCCCTGTTCCATTCAGTTGTTCCTGTTGAATAGAAAGCATCGAGAAAATGAAGAGATCTAAATGCCAGCAGGAGACGAGCTGCATTCTTCTAGGCATGTCCTGAGCCTAGTCACCCAGAACAACTTGTGATCCCTGGACAAAGCCGTTCACAGCAGGTGGCCATATCAAGAAATTTTCCTCCTGGAATTAGATATTATCCCAGGAATCACTACTGAGTCAAACATAATGCCCCATCCTGCTGGGTCAAGTAGGATTCCATTTCAATTTCTTTACACAACGATGCGTTTCATCTTGTCTGCGTACAATGACAGTGCTCAGGCATGAAATAAATTGAAGTGCCTGAAAGGCAGAATTATCCCTTGAACCTGCAGCATTCCCAACCCCAAAAACACACATTGTCAAGTGAGTTCCAGATAAGCAGGATCTTCAGCAAGTGTTTGTGCTGCTTGGCTTCCTTTAATCATACTCCCTTTTGTAAAACGGATTTTCGAGGGGAAAGATAAATCATTTCTGAGGAAAAAGGTCATTTTCAAAAGGCTTAAGAGGTTCATTTTGTGTGGCTTTCCAAGGTGAAACAGGTAATTCAGAGTAGTGAAAGTCTTTTGTGATCAACTTAATTCATCCTTCATATTACCAAGAATAAAAACTATTGAAATAAGACTGAATAAACTTCTTTATAACAAAGTTCCTAAGGATAGAAAGTGATGATTTGTTGTTTGTTAAGAAACTGTCCAAACTCCAGCAAATGAAAGTTTAGGTTGAGAGCAAGCTTTCCTTCCACCTTCTCTTCAGAAAGCATAGTGGTTTTTCTGGGCTGTTTGGCACACATATTTCAATAACTTATCAATAACACACCTCTGTTTACAGAACATCAGGCTAGCTTCAGCATAGCCGTAAAGCCAAAGAGCATTTTTCTCCATTGTCACATTATGTTTGAGCTCTTTAGAGATACAGACTTGAGAAAATTCAAGGAATAACATTTCCTTTCTATTTTACTGAAAACAACCTTTCCATAGCAGTCAGATATTTTGTAATCTTATATTCCACCTGTGAGAATAGTTTTCTTGAATTTATATGTGGAAGAAATTGATACAGAAGAAATAAGATATATCTTAATTTTAATAAGTTAGAGTATCTTGCAAATTGTTACCAAAAACAACTACTAGGACAAAAGGAAAGAAAGTAAAATACATACAATGACTTGATATTTAATGCATAAATCTTGTAAAATGTTTCTCTTTTAATTTTGATTGATTTGATTTAAATGTGCATCTTTAGGCAGTCTGGAAGGTCCTTTAGAATATACAATAATAACTAACTGCAAGTTGTTATATATGTTTAGAATTCTATTAATGTTCTTTTTATCTATATAATTGAATATTCAACAGTGATCCCAACATTCAAGTGAATTTGCCTACCAGCTGATAATCGGTTTTAGACTTGCTTTCTTCCACATTGTATAAATTATTTAACTGTGTATATTGTGGCAGTAAGTGCTGTAATTCTGCAAAGTTACTCTAGCTAAAAGAGTCAGGCACCTATGAATGCACAACTTTAGCCACTAACCCCACAGAATTTACTCAGAGTAGTCTAAGGAATCTATAAAAAGAGAAACAGTTGTTACAGGCTATTTACCTAGAAGAGTCAATGAAAAATAATTCCACTTATTGAAAAGGAATATCACTATGCATTTAGAAATTATATTCAAAGAAATGTGAATGAATACCTGAATGTTTGTGTTTTTCTTGTTTACTAACTTTAATGTTCTATTTCATTATTCTATCAATTTTAAAAGGATTTCCTGAAATATGTTAGAGCTAGGCTATGAGAGGATCTATATTTTTCCTAAGCATGTTTAGATACCTACTGACAATATGTGCTAGTGATTTTTTAAAATTTTTTCCCCTGAATACCCCTTCACCGTTATGTATATCAATGCCTTAATTCTTTAGACACTTATATTTTTTCCATAGTAAGCATCTTAAAATTGTAGCTTGTGTTATATAATATATATCTCATTACACTTAACATTCTAGAACTAAAGTTGCTCAATACCTGCTTAATAAGTACATTAATAGTTGAATGTTTTATTTAAAAAATAAATACATATTTGAAATAAACTTACAAAAAGTGAGTAGGAGATGACTATTTGCCCTTGCAGATGATTTTCATTTTTAGACAGATTTTTAAAATTTTCTAAATTTAAAGACTAATATCTTAATATCTAGAAGGAATTTAAGTCTAAACTTTTATTGCATGTTATTTTCCAGAATTCAGTTTCATAATGCTAAATAGATATTTAGGTAAAAATTTTAATTTGGAAGGCTTTTCGACTTAGCTCCCCAATTAATTTATATTTTACAGTTACTGATGAAGTATCTTCATGGGTAATTTTTTTCAAGTACTGAAAACTCTTTGTTTTTCAGTGCAAACCCATTCTTTATGAATATTTGTCATGAGCTTTACCTGAATGTTCTGATTGAGCCACGTATGAATCTTCAAAGGAAAGTGAAAATTGCTATAAAGAAATTTTCTGCACCAAATGTAGATTGATTATGATATTGTCCACAAGTAGATTTGGTTATAATAGAGATTTTAATTTATACTTTTTTAGGTTTTCAACACGTAAAAATATCAAGTTCGAGGAAAGGTTTTTGTTGTTGTTGTTTTATCTTAACAATCTATGTAAAGTAAATAGTGGAATATTTTTGCATTCAGTGTCCTGTGCAAAGACTGAGCTACAATATGGTGCAGTGACAAATAACCACCAAATCCCAGCCACTTAAAGTGATATCTCACTTACTCTGCATGTCCTTCTGTGGCATCAGAGCTCAGGGCTTAATGAAGTCCCTAGAGGCCCAGGGTTGAGGGAGCGGTGATCTCCCAAATGTTTCTCATCTCCATACCAGAAGGGAAAGAAGAATATGGGAAACTGCACATGAGCTATGAAAATGTTATCTGGAAGTGACACAGTCACTTGAATTTCACTGGCCAAAGCAAGCCATCTGGCCACAACTAACCTCAAAAGTGTAAGAAAGTGTAATTCTATCATGTTCCTGCAAGGGGGAAGAAGCAGAATTCTAAGTGAGCAGAATTAATGATTCCCTATACAATTTATGTCATCAGCCTTCTCTTTCTTACTTTCAGAAAGATATTAAACCTCTCCAATATCTCTGACCTTACCGTCATTCAAGATACACACATTTAGAGCCTCCTATTTTAAAAATGTGAGCTTCTTATTGTGGAGATGTGAGAGTTTCCCCACTTCCAGCTTGACTCACCTCAAAAGATTTTACTTTGATGGCACAGTGGTAAGCTTCTGCATCCTCTAAATTGGATATTCCTCTGATTGGTGGCCACTGTTGCATTCAATATTTTTGCTTTATTGTTAACATCAGTATCTTAGTTATCAACAAAGAATATCCGTAGTAACTAATAAAAGCACCTGTGAGCACTTTAAGACAGTGAAGCATTGTACTGAACATAAAGGCTCATAGTTCCCTTAAACACAGACATTGCCCAACTGCCATTCAGGTCAGGGATAAAAGGAGTAGAGGAACAGTCAGGTCCAGAGATGCATTCTAGTAATAAATTCTGTGCCCCCCACAGTTTTGTGTCTTGAAGATTATTTCTCTTATAGTATCTGTTCTCAAAACATTTTAGACCCACCATGTGAGAGACAGTATCTGCCCCCAGGGAAAAGAGAAAACATGTTTTTAAAAGAAGAAGAAGAAGAAGGAGAAAGAAGTGTTTGTTTTGGATGGTGTTTTAGAAATGTGAAGGAAGAAACAGGGTTAGGAATACATGGAATGTGGTATGAGAAGTGGCATGGCTGTGAACCACATGTTTAAGACACAAAAAGATGATATTGATCTAATAATGGTAAGAAAAACAAGACTGATAAAAAACAAAGAAATTATAATTTCAGATTTTCAAGTAGCATAATGGTTTCTCAGTGGAAAAGTTTTCTTGATGAGTGCTTGAAATATGAGATGTAGAATATTTAATCTTATATAAAGAATTTAATATCAACGTGTTATTTGTAAAAGTAAAAAAAAAAAAGATTATCAAAACAAATAATAAACCTTGGGAGTCAGAATAAAAACGAGGATAGATAATGTCAAGAAATCAAGAAGATAATAGTGCTAGTTTCCTGATTCTATAGTGAAGATAATTGTAAAGCAGTTTAAAGCTAAGATCAAGGCAAAAGGATACTTGAACTTAGTTGGGAGTACATTTGTAAATGAATGGGTTATGGAAAGGGGAGGAGTACAAGCTAAATTACAAAGTTGAGGTTAATAAAGAAAACTGAATAATTTTACATTTATACCTAATAATTTTGAAAGTAAAGATGAAAAACTCTACTTTGTAGAAAATGCCAAATCGACACTAAGAAAGAAAATGCATAAAATTGAAGAATTCTCAGAGAATGCAGAAATATGAACTATATGTGATATTATTGAGAAATATAAGAGAACTTATACTACTTCTACTCCTACCATTTAATGAAAAATGTCTAGGCTAATTTTGTAACAATCACATTTTACCTTCTTTACTAAAGAAAATATAATTTGAATATAGGGAAGTTATTGAGAAAAAAAAAACACCTCCTGTATACAATCATACTTCTTGAGTGGATCTGAGCAGCAAAAGTGGACAGAAAGTGCTGTTACAACTGGATCATGTTGAATAACCAAGACAGAAAGAGCTGAAGGGAAGTAGTAAAGCAGAAGGAGGAGAAATCTATCAGGGAACCAATAAGGTGGTGTGAAGCTAGGACAGTGTGTTGTGAAGTGATCACTAAAATATACCTGTTAGTTGATTCAGGCTTTTAGAAAAACTATGAGTAAAGTCAAACATTAGATTTAAGGTAATTTGCGTCTGCAAAATTAGCACCCCAACTTAGCCTCACATCCATTAATGTAGCCCATTACACACATATGCACACATTTGATAATGGTTAGACTTGTTATGAAACCCAACTGAAGTTTTATGCCTGGGTTCCAAGCAATTCAGAACATAAGCAACATGTGGGGGGTAGTGACATGAGCTAACAACTGAACTAAATCAATAAAGAAAATAGTGTTTCTCCAGAGTTGAACATGAGAATATAAGGTTATCCTAAGACCTTCAGTTAAATAGAGAATACTTGCAGCATGCTCTGGAATTCCAGCGGGCATGATATAAGGAAGGAGCATCCTCGAAGCAAATAGCTGCATCTCAATGGGTAGGAAAACCCCTGAGGACTTCTGGCTTTCATGTGAGGATAAGGAATATATTCGTAGGTTGTTTAATTAGTTATTAAATTAATTTTCAATGCCCATGCCAGTTGAGCCACATATTTTATCTCTTCAATTCAACCCAATGGAAAATTATTGAGGTCCTCTCATAGGTATTTGTATAATGGTCAGACATACAAGTGCGAATGAGAGACAGCCTCTATTACTGAAGTCCTCACAATCTGTCTGCTGGACAAGAGTGGAGAAAGGGACTGAAAAAATGACTCCTACCAACATAAGGAGATAGTGCTAGAGCAGCAGTGTGAATCAAGTGCTATAGACATGGAGATGAAGGGAGCAGGAAGGAATAACCACAAATAAGAGAACACTTTTTATCAGAGCTCAAAGGATTGGCAGGGTTTAACTAGACAGAAAAATACAGATACATGGAAGTCCATAAATAAGCATATAGAGAATGAATGTGCCTCATGTGATTGGAGTCTATTGGAAGTTAGTTGATTTAGAAAAAGAGGACAGGAGAGTGTCACCACTGGCTAGTGAGCAGGCAGGCATCAGCGCTAAGAAGAAACACAATGTTAAGAATAAAATGATCTGAATAAAATAAATAGTACACTTTTTCTTATTGCTACATTACATTACATTAATATTACATCATTGTAATGTAATATTACACTAAGGTAATATTACATCAATATGACATTATTGAGTGCAATAACTGATCATGTTTTCAAAATAACTGTCTTTGTTTTCTCTCATATAACTCTGTTCTGTGTACATATGTCCTGTGTCTCAATTACGATCACCTTCCTCTCAGATCTCCAAGCCAGAAAGCTTAAAGCCATCACTCACAGCATAATTTTTATTTTCCCTTTCCAAAACCCTTGGATATAAGAAAAACAAAACAAATAATCCAACAAAATAACCCTCCCCCTTACTGCAACCAATTTCTAACTAGTCCCAAAATTTATTTATTGCATCCCATAGGATGCTACCAGTTTTGTTGATTCCTCTCCATTTTTACTGCAGAATTCCTAACTTAGGTCTTCATAACTGTAGATTTGTATTTCCACTTTTACTTTCTTGCTAGCTTCCCTACATTCTCCTTATCAATCCCACCAAACGATTATGCAAACTGCTTCCAGATGTGTCTCTCTAAAGTTCAGACACAGTCATGTCATGTCTCTTATTATGAAGCTCAGTGGAAAAATGCTTGAATATGACATTTAAGACCATTATTTTTCTCCTACCTGCCTGATAACTGCAATTCTCTGTCAATAATAATTAACAATATTAGAGCATTCATGGTTCCTCTCTGATTGCCTTTCACATCTATCTCTCATCTATCTATCTATCTATCTATCTATCTATCTATCTATCTATTTATCTATCATCTATCTAACAAATATTACATCAATGCAGTTGTATATCCTCTACTTACCATGATTTTTCCAACCTAGGCCTCAGACCATTGGAAAAGCAGTACTGCATATTAAGAACATTATGGGCTGGGTGTGGTGGCTCATGCCTGTAATCCCAGCACTTTGGGAGGCCAAGGCGGGCAGATCACCTGAGGTCAGCCCTTCAAGACCAGCCTGACCAACATGGAGAAACCCCTTCTCTACTAAAGATACAAAATTAGCCAAGCGTGGTGGCACATGACAGATACTCAGGAGGCTGAGGCAGGGGAATCTCTTGAACCCAGGAAGCACAGGTGGTGGTGAGCTGAGATCGCGCCATTGCACTCCAGCCTGGGCAACAAGGGCAAAACTCAAAAAAAAAAAAAAAAAAAAAACCAAAAAAAAAAAAAAAGAGAGAGAGAAAGCACTGTGGCTTTTAAACCGCTGCACATTTGCAGAAAATTTATTTGAGGAGATTTAACTGTTGTTAATCTAATTTACAAATTTTATTTTGCTTACAATGCTCATATTAACAAATCTATAAGGGCCCTGTTCCCATGAGCTAGGTTGAAGTGAGAGGTGAGGGATGGGGTACAGAATGCAGAACTCATGACTTTTAGATACAGTGCACACTGTTTTGCAACTCAGAATGTGTAATTACCTAAAAAGTGGAGATGGAGGGAAGGAAGAAAGCCCCAAATGTCCTGATTTATGAAGGTGTTCTGCCCTCACAGCTGCACAACCCCTGGGTGAACTGTGATTCACACTGTTTGCTGTGTCAAGCCTTTCTCCTGTTAGTGAATAGCATCCCCTTTTGGTGTGCAAAAAGTGTGGGCAGTCTTACAATGGGAACTGGATCCCTTTAAACATATGATTTAAAGCTTCCTTTTTAAGGATTTACCCATCGACAAAGTTTTAAAACTTATCATGGTATCACATGCAAGAAAAATGCAATCTCTGACAAATTATGTCAAGGAAGGCAGGTACTGTTTCTAGTGATCAAGGTATGAAAACAATTCATCCTCATTTGGTAAGAAGTATCTCATTTTCTTACTATACCTTTCTTATTTCTGGATGCATTACCTAAATTTGTAATTTACAAGTTGTAATTAGAAACTCTGAGATAATAGATTTTACGAACAAAGGAATGGTTATGTTGAAATGCATTAGATGAGTTTGTTTTAAGACAGACCAAAAGATGATTAGTGAATATTACATACTTTAGGAGGCTTAAAAAGTGGTTTGTATTAATTTACTGAATAATATATCTTTACGTAATGACAAAAAAAGTAATCATGTTTTTACCTTATTATAGCAAGTGACCTAACCCATTTTAAATCATGTAAGTGATTAAATTTGGAGACAAGATCAAAATATCTTTCATCATCAGATGCAAAGAAATGACAACTAGAGACACAGCAGTAAGAAAAACACCCACCCTACTGAAATCCATTATATCAGAAAGGTTACATCGAACGGACTTTATCACATTACTAAAGGATTGAAAATTAACCCAAGGTTATCCACTTCATACAAAATAAACATTGAACATTCAGTGCAGCAATGTCTTTACTGCCTGCATGATGACTTACAATATAACACATACTGGTTTTTGAATGTTTTACTGTGAAAGCTGATTTAAAATAATCTTTGAAAGGACTTTTTTTTGAGGAGCTCTTTATTATTATTAAAAGGGTAAGTGCCAGAGCAGCAGCAGGGAACCACTTAAATAGAGGTTCAGATACCCTGTTCTTAATAGGACAAGCTTTAAGTATTTTTATACACAAAATAGACTGACACAATTTCCTGTGGGGTTTCTTCAACATATGTAATACCCATTATGATACAACAAAGTAGTATTGACATGAAACTAATAAAGTGGGATTTTTTATCTTTCTTTATGCATTTAAAAATTCTTACAGGATATATGAGATAATTCAAAGAAAACTTGAATTCAAGTGGAAAATGCTTGCAGAGGAAATGATATGGGCCACTTATGTGGACTCTCAATTTTTTCTTGAAATTGTGAAATTTTTGACATGACATCCAGCTGCATAATAGTAGAACACAACAAAAAATGAAAAAACAATGTAAGGAGGGGGAAGCTCCTTTTACTGATATTAAAATTGTTCTGATCAGAAATATGCCATGCATCATTTGTAAAAATAAATTATTCCATAGCCAGCTAAGCCAAGATCAAGAATAAATGAATGAATATTCAGGTTTTCACTTTTTAAAAACATTGAATAATAAAAACCACATTGATTTGACATAAAATTAATCATTGGTAAAATATTTCCACTTTATTTCACAAGATTAACTTAATTATCCTTTTATCTGCCACAAGAAGGACAAATTAAGAGATATCCTTTAGGACTGAACTCTTAATGCAAAACATTTCTTCAGAGAGGGAAGTAGATGCAAAGTTTAAGAGCTCTTTGCAGTTGGGAAGTTGCAGCTTGAAGATACATTGACATTCTTCCGCTGTTTAATGCCTTCTTAATGCTGCTCATGCATGCACGCACGCGCATAGACACACAGACACACACACACACACACACACACACACACACACACACACAATGCTCATTTAATGGCAAATAATTGCTGTTTCTATTTGAATTGATTAAGATATATTTTAAAAAGTAGGCTTTTGGCTTTTGAAATGGCACCCGTAATACCAAAGTGACATAATACTGCACTTCTGTAATTCAAATGGGTGGCCATTGAGGCAAGAGAAGCAAGTGCCTCTGTGCAATTTTCCTCCTTTTTTTGTGAGTTAAGCAGATTTACTCTTTAACGGTGGAGCTTCAGCGGATGATTATGACATCAAAGCCAAAAGTAAAATAAACTCTATCATCCCAGGCTTCTTTCTGAAAGAAAGGAGAGTGGAGGCTTAGTCTGTTTCATTTGATTTTTCATTTCCTTTCATACTTTAGAATCACACTGTCTCCCCACATACTCAAATACCTTTCCCATCATAGTCACCCACTCATCACATATCCTCTGATTTCTGACTGAATTATTTGCTGTATTTCAGTATTTTTATCTGCAGATTTCTAAATATCAGGCACTTACACTTTACTGAAAATGACGCCTGTTGTTATAGCCTGATTTTGCTTTTTTTGAACTCAATTATCCTTCTCAATTTGCGACCTCCCTTTAGCTTTTACAAAGCTGTTAGAAATTGTACCTGGAATATGGTTTAGTCAGATATTTGCGAATTTATTGTCAAAAATTAAATATTTATGATTTTTTGCTGTTTTATATTTAATTTTACTGTTTTTAATTCCCAGTCCTTTAATGTAACTTTTTCATAAATATACTAATTACATGGGTTAATTATAACAAATGTTGTTGAATTTAACAAGGCCCAAAGTTGGGTAATTTAGTAGTTTAGTTGGCAAAATTTTATTAAGCAGAATCACCTTGATTCTTAGCCAGACACACGGCTCTCAATATAAAATTAGCATATGGTGTGTGAAATTTAAAAATAAAAATTACTATGAATTCCTGTGAAATTTTTAATAATAATTTATATATTTAAGTTTGTTTTATTCTGAGAAAAAAATTGCCATTTTACTGTGTCTGAATTGTTTTGTAATATATTTTTAGGGAAATATTATGTCTTTTTAATTATGACACTTATATAACAAAACAAAAATATTTAAATATAGAAACTTCCCAAAGATATTAGTTTTACTAATCTAATCAAGATAAGTAAATTATTGGGATGAATCAATAATGAAACTAAGAAGAAACAATAGGATAAGCACAGTATTTATTCAAAACATTAATTTGTCTTGTTTTTTGAATTATCACCTAAATAGAATTCGTAACAACATTTTGTTGATGTGTCCATACATTTTCTACTTAGAAAAGGAGATAAATTATATAAAGTATCTTTAAGTTGGAGATTATTCCAATTAAAATATTTTGGAATAAATTAAAACTCAGTAACATTCAAATGAATAATACTAAAAATGTTTTCTATAGAGAGAATTTTTAGAACATGTATTTTATATGTATTCAACCCCATATATTCAAATTTGAATTTGTGAAGAAAAGTTAGCATGTGGCAAAATTATAATATTGAGATCAAGTATTAAACAGGAATATTTATAATCCTCTGTTTTACTATCAAAAAACAATTAATAGTTGGCAATTTATTATTCTTTATATTAATAAAGAATATTCTATATATTTTGCAATTTATTATTCTTATGTGTTTTAAGGTCTATATAATGCTAATGTTCTTGTTGCTATTGTTGTGTTACCTTTATATTTTAAACAGAGCATTCAGCTCGGAGTGGATAATACCCTCTTATGCATTTGGCATCATTTAATGTCTCTATGCAATAATTTCAATATTGTGTGACGTTTGGCTTGCCAAAACAAAACCCTGGAGGGCTTCATTTGTTTGTTATTTTGTCTTCTTTTATCTGCCTGTCTGTGTATCTACCTATTTGGTCTTCGCAACAATCTTATCTTCAATGTAGAAATGATGTAATACAGTTAAACATGCGTGCAATTTAGAAACATGGATTTAAATAATTGAAGGAGTCTTATGAAACTTATTCCCACACCTTTAGTTTGTTTTCCAACACTCTTCATCATATTACTGACTACATGACCTCAGGATAAGAGTAAATAACATGCATTTTGTATTGTGGAGCTTCACAATACAACGAAATCATAGAGAAAATGACATCTTGAAGTTTTTCCTCATCAAAAAGTGAGACAGAATTTGCTTTGATAGATTGTAGTTGCTGGGCTAGCCCATTTTTATTAACTGTATCAAGTAGGCATCAAAATTGCTGACCTTCAGGAGATTCTTCCATTTTAAAAATTTGATTTCTAAATAATTGGAAGTTTTAGAGAATATTCTTCTATACTTTATCAATAACAGTATTGTCACAAAACAAAAGGTAAATCTAGTTATGAAAAACGCAAAATGCCTGTCTTATATCAATGGAGTAGAGTAAGTAAAATATGGGAACATGAATATTATCAAAGATACCAAAACCCAATCACTTGTATTTGTGACCATAAAATCATGCAAAGCTGCTCCAAGTGAGAAAATATATATATTTTGTGTTAAATATGAATTGAAATGCAATTATTTCCTAAAGTTGTCAAATAATGGTAATATATGCAATAAAATGCTATTGAGAAAATAATAATATGTTTTTCTAAGACTCTTCACTGTTAGAAATCTACTTTTTCATATTGTACCATTCTGAATTAGGATGTGGACAGCAGCAGTTTTGACATGGTTATTTTGTCTTCATAAGTGCCTTAAACTTGTGGAATAAGTGTCAAGGCCTGGAAGAAAATCCTTCAGACCATAGTGGAACACTCTTTTAGAAAATACTCAATGATAAAAGGAGATACCATAGAGGAGAAAACATTGATATTGATGACTATGAGTCAAAGCTGTTCTGATAGAACAGCTGGATAGCCTAGGTTTTCTTCTAGGGTTTTTATGGTTTTAGGCACATGTATACATACATAACAAACCTGCACTTTGTGCACATGTACCCTAGAACTTAAAGTAGTAAAAAAAAAAAAAGAACAGCTGGCTAGAGGGGCTCTGAACATAAAAGTGATTTTAAAATACCTTAACAAATTTATTTTACTCATGAATTTTTATGTATGTATAAAATTTGTACATGATAAAAATCAACACTTGATATTTAAAACAGTTTCTTCAGGTCAACCATGATGGCTCACGTCTATAATCCAAGTACTTTGGGAAGCTGAGGCAGGCAAATCGCTTGAGGCCAGGAGATAGAGATGAGCCTTGGCAGCATGGCAAAATTCCACGTATACAAAAAAAAACACAAAAATTAGCCAGGCATGGTGGAGCACACCCATAGTCCTACCTACTTGAGAGGCTCAGGTAATAGGAACACCTGAGCCCTGGAAGTCCAGGTTACAGTGAGCTGAGATTGCAGCACCGTACCCCAGCATGACAGAGAGACCCTACCTCAAAAAAAAAAAAAGAGTTATTTCAACAAGTATAATTAGCTATCTAGATATATCTATCTACCTACCCATTTACCTATATGTAGAGGGAGGTAGATACATTGGCCAACGTGCCAGTGATAAGGAACATTGTGTTATAGTTTAACTGACAGTTTTTTTTTCTTTCTCAGTAGTAAATAATGGTGCTTTTTAGAAACAATAGATTTGATGTCATAAGTAATAGGATTATTCGCAAAGTTCACTGTTCACTGAGACAACTCCACCCATACTACCTGTGTATTTGCAGCATTTACCTTTCCAGGCACTTCTCATGCCCTTTTGTCTTTCCATGCACAGGATACCTCCACTCAATAAAAAGTCATTTTCTAACTTCTCCACTCAATATATTCATTTATTTTTTTAAGATCAATTCAAAAGGTATTTCCTTGGTGAAGTGTTTCTCTACTATCACAGAATTATAGCATTCTGCCTATACTATAGTCTAGCCTCTTGTCCATATACTATGATTTTCTGCATATATTTTTATATGATTTTATTTTCTAGTTAATTGTAATCTTCCTAAGGGCAAAGGCCAGGTTCCAGTTAATGCTGACAACCCAGAAAGCAGCATCATGTGCAAAATTTTTTGTACTATCAGTAAATGATACCTGCTATGCATGTGGTAAGCCTCAGTAACTATTCTTTGAAATAATAAAGAAATAAAAGTGTGAACAGTGAATTTATGTGATATATTCATATAAACTATTTATATTTTACAACCATAGTTTAACAAATCAAAGTGTGACGATGCTGAAGCCAAGGCCAACACATTAATTTTTCTAGGTTTATTTTCACCCATTTATTCTGGCTGTTATCCTGCACTGGCATGTTTATTCTTCATTATTGCCAATACTAGAGAAGATTAGGAATAAATTAGAGCAACTTATCTTCACTATGTGAAAAGTCAATACTTATTGATGGTAAGTTAAAAATTGTCAATTTCTAAAATAATCTCATAAGTAGAAAATAGCATGCTTATATTAATACATTGATTATAAATATTTTCAAAGAATAATTCAAAAATTCAACCTTATACACAATACATCTTTTTTAAATCCTGCTTTATTGTTCTCAGAAGTATATGAAAGATTAATATATTTAGGTTAGAAAGCCTTTTTAGCCTTTTGCTTTTACTATCTATTCAAATGTTTATGAGGATAGGCAAACATGAAGGAAGTGTACATGGATTTATCATTTGCTTGAGTGTTATAATTAGGGGCCCAAACTGTATAGGTAAGAATGATATTTAAAAATCAACCATGCTTAAACCTGAACATTAGTCTAATCAGAATTAGACACCCAAATTGTTTGTTGCATCTTTACTTTTATACAATCTTAATAGATGCCTTCTGGATAGCAATTAATAGAAGCATTTTCTAAAACTACACAAAACATTTTACTTAAATTCTTTATTCTCTTTTCAACCTTTTTCTTTGATGAAAATATACTTTCCTTTTTCACCATAATGGCTTTTTATTTAACTTATGCCTGCTATACATGGTAGTATCTGTAAATAAATAACAAAAAAAAGTATGAAAGAATAACTGTTACTGTCATTGACCTTTCATATTTAGGCTGTTTGTTGTATTTTAAAATACAATTTTAACTTTAAATAATTTAATAAATCTCAATTCTCTACTTTGCACCTTGGGCAAGCTTTTTAACTGTTCTGGGCCTCATTTTCCTCATTTGTAGAAAAAAGGAGATAATAATAATACCTAACTCACAGGGTATTTTATGAAGATTAAATGGATTAATATATGTAATATATTTAGAACAAGATGCATAATTATTTGATTTCAGAGTTATTTTTGAGATTATTGTCATTATTCCATTTGGTTAAAAAAATTCTGACAATTTCTGAACAGTGTCTTATTTTGATCAGGCTAATATTCAGGTTTAAGTATGATTAATTTTTAAATATCATTCTTACAGTTTTGTCCCCTAACATTATGCAAATCAAGTCCAGGTATATTTCCTTTATGTTTACTTAGTCTCAGAAAACCATGCTTTATTATGATTTATTTCTTCAAATAAATGAATAAATCCATTCTACTAAGGAAAAGAGGAATAAGCATATTTTATGACTCAAATATGGCAGTACAGAAAAATAGAAAATAATGATAAATAAATTTCCATTTAATATAAAAATGAAAGCTCTGGTTAGAGCCCTCAATTAGTAAAACTACTTGGCTTATGAATCAATGAGTTTGTGGCAGGACAACTGTCCAGATGGTCACTGAAAGGATTCCTTAGTTTGGTGAGAGGCTGGCTTAGAGGGCTCATATCATTCTTACGAAGGAGTCTACCTTATTTCAAAGCAGAATCGTATCTCTCCACATGGGGTAATCTGAGGGGTGGCTACCTCACTCACTTTCTGACATGTTTGGAATACACATCTCTTTCTTTGAATCTTGAGCCCATAGCTTCATTACATCTAGAAAAGGTTTTCTTTAGTGTGACTTATTTAACAATTATCTGAGACAGAAAAAAAAAAGGGCATATTAAATGCTAGGAGATGTGAACTACCAGAAAAAAAGGAGAGTGGTAGAGCACTAATAACAAATTTTGCCTACTTCTTAATTTGAAGTTGAACCTGGTCAAATTAAGAAGTAACCAATTCTCACAGTTCTGTTGCAGAAGCACACCTGGGTCTCCAGGTGCCTTCATGTGAGAGGAAGTCACGCTTGGCAAGTGTCATTACTGTTGAATTAGATGACTAAGTCACAGAACAGTGAAAAAAACTCATAAAGATTTCATCATGGAAGTATGTACATAACACAGCCACTACGTAGACTCCTATGCTTCTGAAAACCTTAGGTTCAACCTTAGAGTGTTGGAATGAAATTATTGGCAATCAGCTTGTTCACAGAACTTGATCGTATCATAATTTGTGAAAAAGCCAAGAAAATGGTAGGTAATGTTTCCTGATTACTTTTATTAATTAAATTTCAAAGCTATTCTCAATCAGGCTCCCACCTTACAAACATACTGTTCACCTTGTGAATTCTTTCAGTCTTGATTATTAATTCAGTCATTGTCACCCTTTGCACTCACCTCCCCCCATTTTGGAAGTCCCATAGATGCAAATATTGGCACTGTACAACATGCAGCCCAGGTCTTGTCGTGCTCTGGACTGGGACTCCATCATTAATGAGTTTTTATTGCTGCTCCTACCAGCCCTTGAGCAGACTCTGTGGATGCCAATCTAGAGCAGCCCAGCATAAACTTCACATGTTCAGAATTTTCATTGACCTCACTGAGACTTTCATGAGAATGGATGTACCGAGTAAATATGGGAAAGAATTCTATGATACAACTCTCTAAATAGAAAACCTTTGTTTTTGCTGTCCATATTTGCATAACTAATGTTATAAAAGGTGTAGCAGAAAAACACTCAGAGTGAAGTCCGGGGCCATGACCCAAATTCAAAAAGTTGTAAGAATAGCCAAGTATTCTTATGTGATCTGTTAAGCTTTCAAAGCTGCAATGAAAAGGAAAACAACAGAAAAATAGCTAGATTGATGAGCTGTAAATTTTATAGATAATTATATGTGCTTCCTTGTTTGTAGAAATACATAACTATGCATCCTAGACAAGGTACCTCTAGGGAGTTAAAGAAGAAAATAAGAATGAAGGCAAAAATATCCTATTCAGATTTTCTAAACAGCTTATGTTGATGCTAAATAAACTTTAAAAAATAGACACAGTGGCTTAATTTTGTGATATTTAAGTGTTATAATTTTATTCTGTTAAGTGTGTATGATTGTAAAAGCATCAAAGTTGAAAATCTGTGAAATTGGAGGAAAATACAATTTCACCTTTTGTTCAGAAATTTCCAAAACTACAAAGTAAATAAATTCAAATATAAGTAGAAACATTAGTTCTTTATTTTATTCCTTGCCATAGATGAAGGACTTTATAGAATGACTATGTTTAGGGTAAAGTGACTATTTTCCTGTATGAGTTGTATCTACAAAGTATGAAGTCTTGTTTTAAACAAAATGAAGACATTGTCATTCAACCATTTCCCTGAAATTAGTTGCCTAGGAAAACAAATTTAATAACGAAGTCAAAATAAAGTTTTAGTTTACTATTTATATATATATTTTTACTTCAAAGGGAGATTTTCTGCATAGTTATATTCTTATTTATAAGGCTTTGCTCTAGTTAACTTTTCTCTATTTTTTAAACACAATTGCCATTATAAAAAATTATTTACCCTTTCTTGAAGATATGCATTATTTAAATACAGTAACTCAGATGGAAGTAACATTTATTTAATTGTAAATTTTTAATATCTTTAGTTTTAAAAAACTCAAATCATTTGCTAATATTGCCATGTCTTCATTCTTTCTGTCCTGCACATTGGGCAATATACTTAGAAAATGAGAAAAACTTAACTACTTATTTTATTTTAGAAATAATTACAAAATATGTAAAATATTTTAGTTTTTATTGTAAAAATATTTATATTAATATGTAAAATATTTTACTTTTATTGTAAAAATATTTATATTAATATGTAACATAAATTTAAAAGTTTATACAGAATGTTTTATCTCTTAAATTGTTAGATGTATACAAATAAATTTGAGTGTCATATTGTCACCATTATGTAGTCTTGTGGACTAAATTGTGTCCCCCCATAATTCATATGTTGAAGCCCATAAATGCCAATGTGACTGTATTTGGAGACAAGGCTTTTAAAAAGGCAACTAAAGTTGAATAAGGTTATAAGGATGTGGCTCTACTCCAGTAGAATTCGTGTCCTTATAAAAAGTGGAAGAGACATCAGAGAGCTCTCTTTCTTCATGAGCACATGAAGAGGATACATGAAGACAGCAAGAAAGCAGTAATCTGTAAGCCGAAAGAAAGAGTTCACCAAAAACACTGAACTTACCAGAACCTTGGCTGTCAAGTTCTAGCCTCCAAAATGGCCAGAAAATAAATGTCACTTGTTTAAGCTACCCAGTTGGTGGTATTTTGTTATAACAGACTGAGCTGACTAATATATGCAGCCATTGCTAATTTTTCTTACTAAGGATCTAAAGTTCACAGAATTGATTGATCATAATTATTGGTTCATACTCACTGTTACCAGTTGTCATTGCAAGGTCATCTTCTATTTTATGTGTTTATTTAACTGGAGCACTAGACTATTACCAGTAACTTACCTCTCCTCATATGTTCCCTACCTATATTGTCTCCCAAAGTTCTAATATTTATTTTTAAAATTCTCTTGCATTTTCTTTTTTCCTTTGTGTTTTCTTTTTAGTTTTGTTACTAAATAACATATTAGTTTTTTTCTACTACATGTTAACTCCTTAAACTCACTTTTTTTCAGTCAATATTTTCTTAAGTTTCATCCATGTTATTGGTTTCATTGTGGCTCATTTTCGTTGTTGTATAATATTCTCTTTGCTCAATACATCAACGTGTATTAATGAGTTCTGCTAGTGAAAATTTTGTTCTCCGTGCTTTGCTATAATGAATAATGGGCTATAGACACTTTTTTTGCATTATTTTGTGGTACATATGTGCCAAAGTTTGTCTTAGATATATTCTTGTGGGCTTTATTGCTACATCATAAGTTTTGCAAATATTTAGTTTTGCAATATAATTTTAAAATATTTTCCAAAGTGTACCAGTTAGCATTACCACAAATAAATGAGAGCTTGTGAATATATACCTTCCACACCACATGCAATCGTCAAACTTATTTTTTCCAACCAATTGACCATAAAATGGAATAAATGGTGGTCTTGGTTTAAGTTGCTTTGCTTATTAGTGAGATTAAATTTCTTTTCATATGTACTTATTTATGTTATGTATGTTTTTCTTTGATGGTATACTCATTCATGTCTTTTGACCATTTATTGCCTTAAATTTTTTGTACAGATTTTACAAATGCTTTATGTATTCATTATACTAATCTGTTGTCACTCCATATTTCAAAATATCTTCTCCAAGTTTAAATGTTTTTACTTTTTCGATTGTCATTAGAAAATAAACTGAAGGCAGAACAAAGACTAGAAGCCATATTCTTTAACCTCTACTTCCTCTCTCGACTCAGCAGGTGAGAACTTTTGATTTTGAAACTTCAGCTTCTTTATTTGCACTTCTCAACAATTCTCATGTATCTTTTTTTTTTTTTTTTGCTTTCTGGTAATTAACTTTCATATCATAATAAAAATGTGTTTTGTATTATAACTATGTATGTCTTATGCAAATGCTAAAGTCAAATCATAAATTTCATATTGTTAGCATAACAACATATTGTTGGGAATACAGAAACTATTGTACAAAATACTTTGTAAACTTTGTACTGTGCTTTTCTGAATGCTTATAGGTTTAAGATTATTCTATCACTGTATAATATGAAATGGCATAGTAGAGTGGTTACATAGTGAATATAACTAAAGCACTTTAAATATCTCTTTAAAAACTGTTCCTGGCAGTCTTATTAACAGAAGTTATACATATCCTGGACCTCTTAGGCATATATATTTTTAAATAATTATAACACACAATTATTGAAGAACAAGAGAAAAAATAAAAAAAGAGGCGCTACGGGAGGAAATTATCATTCCAAGTCTGAAACATTGATAGCTGAAGTCATTTATATGCTTTCCTGAAGTCATCTCAGCTAGTCAATTTAGTGGGTAATAATTTCAGAAACATAGTGTTTTTTTCTTTTTTTCTGTCAAAGGTCCATTTAGATGAGATCAGGCACGTTCAGGGTGGTATAACCGTAGACTTATTGAACTACACTCTTCATTTACCAGCGAGTTTTATAGAATTAACATAGAACTACTTAAAAATTTTCATTCGCCACTGAATTAACAAAGTTCGTTTACTCTCTAACCCTCTAACAAAAACATTTTATCATGTATTTTGCACCTAGAAGATTCCTAGTTTTCTTTGTAGTTAGACAGACATGACTCTATTACTCTGTGATTATAATAGTTTGGAAGTTATGTTTTCTAAAATATCTTAATAATAAGTTAAAACTGAGTTATTTTAAATGATTAGTTAATAAAATTAACAATGGATACAATATTCGAAGGAAATAAAATGCCACACTTCTTTGCATTATGCTGTGGTTAAATAAAACTAGAAAACTGATAGAATTATCTAGTAATATTTCCGCACATTCATACTTATTGAATAAAATTCTACTTCGGGGTTTTCTGTAGTTGCTTCTCAAAGAAACTGTAGTTGGAAGTGATTATGCAGAGCTATGGGCATAATACGTTCAGATTACTAACTGAAATCAGGAGTGAGAAATGAGATGTGTACTACAATTACTCTGTACTGTACAGTCTGTCTAGACATGCTGGCACAAAACTGCTGCTTAAACATATAATTATTAAGAAAGGCTCCCTTAATTTTTCAAGATATTTAGAAATTAATTGAAATTGATAAAGACAACAAGACATGGTAGCACTTTGAAGTGGAATTACCTAAATTAACAAGTTACATTTATGCTGAGATGGTCAGAATGGATGTGCAATTTTTACATGAAACATATATCAGCAATTATAGCTGTTTCTGTTCCATCACTGTTTAATTTTCTGTTCTCAGTCATGTATATTTATCCCTTGCCCAACACCTAAAAAATGCTAAGAATCCGGGAGGCTTTATGCAGACCTAGTTTTCTGAACACAAAACAGGAAACTATCTCAAATGCTCTTAGTTGATCCATCTTTGTGTTCCAAGCACAATGCCTCGAAAATCCACCTGCTGGAAGTCGGGTGGTGTATGCAAAGGGATGTCATGGTAATTTGAAAACTTTTGAATACAGAATAGAGGCTTTTCCTGACTTCAAGCTCACCACACTGGTTTGTTTGGCTCATTACATGCCAAAACTTTTGATTGATGTGCTCATTTCAGTCACGGGTAATTTTAACTCATATATTAAGTAGCTGCTGCTTCCACTCCATTATAGTTCCTTGTATGGGGCAAATCAGAGCTCGGGTCTTGTCTGTATTGGGCTGACCTAGAGCCATAGTGTGCTTTTGTTTGGATTTAAGTAGGAGGCAAGCTAATATTTCAAAACTAGCAAACGTTTACAATCTCTGCTTTTCTTAATTGTAGGGATCCCTGTGGTAAAGAGCTTTTTATTGCTACCACATAGCTCTTTGGGAGTCCCAACGAAGCCAGAAATGATGTTAAAGGCTTCCTAAAGACATAGAAATTCTTTTTAAATGTAGGAGATTTAAGTGGATTAATACAATGTAACCAATTCTGGCAACATTTCCTCCCCTCTTATCTGTTTTTATTTGTGGAAGTCATTGTGTCTTAATAGTAATTTTTGGTTGTGTAACCCAGTATCTGCAGTACATTTGGGGACTGAGCACGCTTCAGTGCATTACCAGTTTACCATTCATTCTATACAGAATAGGACTTTAATAGGAATCACCACATAAATGGTAGCTAGTGATTTACATTTCTGTAAAATTTTAGGTTCAGTATTAATTTACATCAGCCTGCATAGAAAAATATAAGAATCATTTATTCATATCAGTAACCCTGTCTTTCTTTGAAACTCCTACCTATTCATTATAAATAGCAGAATTAAAATGAGACATTAGGCCAAACTAGTCAGTTAAACACATAAACTTTAATTACAATTGACTTGTTTGATTTAAATTCAAATAACATTATTATTACCATTATGTTATTGTTATAGCACACAAATATGATTTACATTGAAACAAAGCCCTTTCCCCTAATAGAGCTTGAAGAATCTTTCTGGAAATAAATAAGATACACTAAAATGCTCATTTAAAAAATTTGGGTGTATCTCAGAGGATGTGTAATCTGTTAAATATACCAATGATAACAGCAAACACTTTGTAAACTATATAATCCAGGTTACAATCAACAAATACCTAATATGTGTACAAGAAAAACTAGTTTGAAAAAGGCAAAAATGGTTTATATTTTATAAATTGCTCAGAGGAAAGAAACAAATTAGGCTAGAAGCAGTAATTCAGAGGTATATAAGAAGCCTCTTTAAATATTTTGGGGGTCAGTAATTGGTACAAGTGTACATGTCAAGCTAAGCAACGTTCAAATCCTCTTCTCATTGAATCAAATAAAATGAAATTGCCCACGGAAATAAGGGTTGTAAACTTTGTATTATTTTGCTGTTGTATTGTATTATTTTAACTCATGGGATACTTAAGACAGAGTTGCACAATCCAAGATACTGGAGACTTGGGAATGACCTAGTTTTAGATGCCAGTCTGGACAAACCAGACCAAATGAGCATTTTCTTCCTGGAAGTTGGATAAATACATCTTTATGTGTATTTAAGCTTGTGTTACTCAGGAAGGAACTAATTTAGATTTTAAAATAATTTATTTTTAAAATTTATCTGTAAATAAAAATTAGTCTGAAAAAGGGCTGAAAAACTAAGGACCATAAGCCCAATCCGGTAAGCTTCTTGTTTTTGTAAATAAAGTTTTATTTGAACATATTCATGTACATATTATCTGTGGCTTCTTTTGTGCTATAAAGGCAGTGTTGAATTATTGAGACTGTATGGCTACCAAAACCTACATATTTACCATTGGGCCCTTGAAAAATAATGTCTACCAGCAGCTGATTTAGAATAAATATCTTATGTTAAAATATAAAGGCCATTAATCATAAAGTTTGAATGTTTAAAAAATATTTCAGTATTTTCAAATAGAGCTAAAGTAATAATATAATTAAACAATTCAAAATGCATTCCTAAACTTATATCAACATAAGTGTTATAATCATGTTATATTTAATACATTCAATATTACATATTACAGGCCAGAGTTATTCATATCTCTCAAGGAAAAAAAAAGATAACATATAAAATATAAGTTCTAAGAATTATACTTATGTTTATTCATATATTTCTTCATATACATTTTGGTGAAGAAAAAAATATTTTTAAGTTTTCCATTTCCCATCATTAGGTTCCTTTTATAAAAGTAACATAACTCAAACTTTGTTTTGTTTTGTTTTTATTTGCTTTTAGGTTTTTATAATAATTTTTAATTTTCCCATGAAGGAGCACAAGCCATGAAAAAAAAAATCACAGTTTTCCTTCTGATGAAGCACAACAATTAAGAAACTGGAAAGACTCAAATAATGTACTCATTAACTTTCATGCTATGGGTGGCCAAGCAAGAGACAGGCATTGCTGGAAAAAAGTGACTCCATTTAGTTCTCTTTAAAGAAGCCATCAACCAAGCAGCCATTGGTATTTCTCTTCCTTAAACACCCTTCAATATTTGATGACTTCTTACTGAGAATTTGATATTTATACATTGTAACAGAGGTTGGTGATTCTGGAGATAAATGAAAAAAAAACAAGAATAAAAGAATATATTTACTGGATTAATAGATTTGACCATAAATAGAGCCAGATAACCCAAGAGAAAAAAACCCTTGTGCGGGTTGGCAATATTTTGCTAGATTCCTTAATTCTATCCTGGCCTTTTCTGGTTACTGCTTTTAAATTTTACTTCAAGGTTTTGTTACCTTATCAGTGCATCTAAAAAATGATATCATAGAGATCACCTAGGAATTTGTTAAAACAAATATTCTGATTAAGTGGGTCTGCAGTAAGACCTAGCATTCTGTATTTCTAGCAAGATTCCAGGTGACTCTGATGATGCTGGTACCAGAAAATACTCTGAATAGCAAGACCTTAGATGACATCAATGAGGACTAAAAATTAGGGTATTTATAAAACATAAATGTATTATCCCTGAGAAGACTTTGGTTGTTATTTTATTACTCTTGTGTATACAATTCAAGAAAAAATACATAAAATCTGTCAAAATTTAGTCCAAATGGACTCTTCTACAAGTATTCTTAGTAAGGAAGACTGTTTTTCCTATATTAAAAATATCCTTCTATGTCCACAAATAACCATTCTATTTCAGTCTTAAAATGTTTCTGAATTGCAACAAATCTATGAATATTTTTAAGAGTGCTCTTAATAAATATAGAAGAGAAAAATGTTGTCAGTCATCTCTTTGAGTAAGATTTAGAGTTTTTGTTTCCTCATAAAAAATTGTTCATTTTGAATATTTTCCTTAGGGATGCAAAATATTAAATCAAAGTGATTCATGTATCTCCATTTACCAATATATGCATTCATATATATGTATATATTATTAACACTTGACAAATCAATTTTTTCATTAACTTAACATGTGATTGCCAAAAGAAAATCTAGACCTTGAAAAATAAGAGATTTAAATAAACAGATATAAGTAAATAAATGACAAATTGAAATCAACATCCCTAAAAAAAATATGTAAACATATAAATATCCTTTAAAGTTTAAATTTTAAAAAAATATATTAACATCTTACAGAACATGTTCTCTAGATTTGTAAAAATGTAAACCTTAACATAGGGAAAAAAAGATTACATTTAAAATCTGGGGTCTCAAACATATATTTCAAATGGATGACACGATATATTTTTTACTGCAAAATAAAACTATACCCAAGAGTATATACGTGTACTTTCTGATGTAGAAACTCCTTGGTGGTATTTTGATGTAAAAGTGTCTGGCATTATTAATAAATTAACTGAATAATGTGTAAATCAGAATTAGAATTGTGATTGTAATTTTTTAATATTAATAGTTTCAATTCAGTATCACAAAATCCATATGGCAATAGAAACAGCATTTGCCTAATCAAATTCATTTAGGAAATTTTAAGAAAAAAGGACATATTAAAGAATTTTCTATGAATTACCAACAGAAATGGAAGATAAATGACAATAGAATTTTAGAAAATTCCATTATAAATATTGTTGAATTTTTTTAAGCCATAAATAGGAGATAAAGAACATGATTAAATTTCACAGGAGGAAGTAAGAAATCCACTTAGCCTGTTGCTAATCTCTTAAAATTCTTTCAGTGAACACTGATAAAGATATAAAATCTGGGATTATCTGATATTCTTTCTTCTACTCTTCTTAATTCTTCCCACTGATTTAAGCCCTACAAGCATTGGAATGCCTAGAAACAAAGCTAGAGAATAATTACATTACAGTTCATGTAACCCTGAACACCTTTGACATTAAAAAGCAATACCACTTGTTGTCATAACATACTCTCGAGTTGCCACATGGAAGCAAACTATTCCTAATAAATATACTAATACAGAATTTAAAAGAGAAAGTAATCCACTTGAAACACCAGTGATTCTGCAAATGCAGGGTTAGAGTAAATTAAATACTTTTTAAAATAAGGTCAGTTACATATACTTTTTGGGCATTTACATATACTTTTTAGTACTTAATGAAAGAAATTAGTGGAAATTGATCTGAATCTTTAATTTGTTCAAAATGTCTTTTATCTAGCAAAAAAATCCCAACTTATGATTTTTTATTTTTTGACAAATACTGCTAGCTATTTTTCCTTATGCATATGAAAATATGCATGTGTGTGTCATGTGTGTATATATATATATATAGTAGCAAAGTGTTTATTAAATGTGCATTATTTGCCTACTTATAGTCTTTGTATTATTTCATCATCATAAAAGTTACAGGCTTTAAAAGAGGGCCACAATCCAATAAGCTATCAATTGAAATATACTAGAATTCAAAGTATGCAAAGTCTTGTCAATAGAATTACTCATACAAAACTCTTCTTTACCTATAACATGTTTATCTGTTTCCCAAAAATCAATGTTTAAAAAATATATCATTTTTCTCTAACATGCCTCTTTTCAATATGTGTGATTCTTCAAAACTATTTTTTTCTTTTCACATGACCTTTATATATAAGCATATATTTTCTAGAGAATTAAGTCATATACAAAAAAGACACGTAACTTTTTTTCTGTGTCAGTCAATTTGGCCTCCTTTTTATGAAATCCATACATTTGTTATGAGCCTTAGCCTCAAATATCAGCTGAAAAGGTAAGAAGGGGAAATATTAGTTATATATTTCTAATAGGAAGGAAAACATTGTAATTGGTCCTAAAATAAATTCGTAACTTCCAAATCTATATATAATTTTTAGCTGAAACTGTATAATTTGGAAATAAACTACAGAAAGCTTCCAGGTAGCTCTATTAGAAGCAATCGAGTTAATTTTTTATAATCAGTCAATTTGAAAAAGATGCAAGTAAAAGAGAAGGATTTCTAACAATAGCTTCCTTGTCTCTTGAAAGCTCTTGCTTTGATTTCTCCAGATGACAAAAGATCTTCTTTAGAATGTAATACGAATGACAGAGATGATTGATAGAGTTGGGCGGGAGGGGCAGTTTACAGAGGTAAGCCATTGGAAACACCAAATGGGTACGTGTGCTGGTATGCTTTATTTTTGTTGTTGTTACCATTGTTGTTTTTCTTTTTCCTGCTTGTCTTCCTGTTCACTACAATTAATAAGGAATTTTTTACTTTGTGACTTCTGGTTCTGGCTATCTGCTCTTGTATCACAGACAACTAACATGAATTTTTTTTCAGTTGCAGTGCAATAAATTATTATTGTAAATGTTCTCCCCACACCTCTTTTGCTCCAAGGTAAGATGCTTTTTCCTATATATATTGTTTGCTGGATGATTTGTTTCCTTACTACCAATCAAACTGTAGATAATAACCTTCATCTCCAAGTTATTATTGAAAAACAACTATTTTTCTGGAAACATGCTCTTTCAACAACTTTTAAAATTGTTCTTTCAGGCAATGTCCTAGTGAAAAATACAAATTAAAGAATGTTTAATACTTTTGACATGATTCTTTTGTCGTATTTGCTTAGATATTTTCACAAGCAAGGAAAAAAAAAAAAAGCAAAACACCAAGATAATTTGTCTTGTCCAGAAAAAACTCTACTGGCAGCACAGTGCCCCCTAAAGTTATTCTTGAGAGAAAATGCCACAATTTCTCAACTCAATTACTCTATAAAATATCACTACATGACTTCCTTTTACCAAATAAATAAATCTCCCATAAAATAGCACAATTCATTAAAATACTATAGAAAAGTTTTGTTTTATTTCAATAATAAATTTAATTACAAATGAAAAGTGTCACTTTATTGTGAGTTTCTATTCTATGCTATTTTAAATAACAGTAACAAAGTAATTAATAAAGACAGTTAAATATTCTGGTTACAAAATATACTGTGACAATAACATTTTTGATAATTTTATTTTCTGACTGGAATATATTTGCTGAAAGAGGACAGATAATTTCCAAAATGTATTATTAGATCTAGTAAAATATAAAACAATGTCTGTGTTTCAGATAAATAATTTGAATGACAACAAATATGGAGAAAGTATTCAAAGAGAATGGGGGCGAAATTTATTGGTAAGGTATAGCTTTATTACTATATTTGATATATTAATAAATTTCACTTTAAAGTGCTCTATATAAGTAAAATGTTACACTGATGTTATGAAAGTGAAAATAAGCACAGCTTGAAAAATCAAAACAAGCCAGCCATAGCATTTGTGTCTTTCTTATAAACCTGCTTTCTTTATAAAACAAAGTTGCTTTCCAATATCCCATCTTTTAAAGCAAACAATTAATTTTATATCAATTCCCAAATATATTACAAAATAACAAGCTATTTGAAAGGTGTTATGACATACTGTTTATATATATTTATCTTTCATAAAATGTAAGTTTTAAAGTCCAACTTTTCTTACTGATTTTCATAGAGCCTTAGTCACAATCTTGATGCTGGATACTCAGATGCAAATAGAATTTGCACCTGTTATTATTTGGCCCATTCCACTGAGTTAGGATTTAAAGTTATCAAGATTGGAGGGATGAAATTGCAAAATGGTCACCTTTAATTACAGTTTTAATGTTTCCTGAGGGTTAAAAATTTCTTCAATGACCATCACGGTAGACTAAATCAAACATTTATTTATTTATTTATTTATTTATTTATTTATTTGCCATGGCTGCAACATTTGCTTGTGGTCAATGTTCAAAGACAAAGCATCACAAAACAACAAGAAATTATATACAGGAGAAAATAAGGAATACCCCCAAGTCATGAGTCATTTTCCACACTGTCATTACTTATTATCAGTGAGTGTGAGTGTTATTAATTCCTACACTGTGCAGTGCTTCGGTCAATTTATAACCTGTGGAAATAGACAAAGTTGTGATTTGAAGCGTAACAACTTTTGCATATGTAACATGCATTGTTTTCTAGGCCAAAAAATCACCAAAATCCAATGAATTTAGGGAAACCTACTGCATTTCAACTGAATGGTTCCCGGATTAGTTCATCCCTGTACCTTAGTACTCAAAATTCTTTCTGAATCTTGGAAATAAAAAGAAAACATTACTTGGGTGAACGCGTAGTATCACTGTGGTTTAATGTACTGCTTTGTTTAATGCTCACAATAACTTTGTGAAGATGTATTCTTATCCTTAGTTTTTGACTGTATGAGCAATCTGAGGCTCAGGTTGTTTCTCTAAGTTTCCCAATGTCAGGGTGCTAATAAATAGCAAAGGTAGAACTGAAATTGTTTTTTCTTACTTCAAAAATGATGTTATTTTCATTTCAGCACAGAGGCCAATGGATAGCTGGAAATGGTTCAGAACTATATAAGCCTGTTGCCACTAAATTGGAGGTGGACATTTGCCCACAATATCAAACCATTTGTATGGTGATGCTTTATGAATACACCTACTTTGTTTTGGAAGTTACGTATAAATGTATATCTAGATGTCTATGTATCTATCTATTATCTATTTTAATATAAAATTTCTAACACTAACTCTTGATTCTTCTAAATCTATTTAACTTTACTACCAAAATTCATATTTTTAATTTATAGATTCTTAATATTTTAATTTGCAATAAAGCAGATAAAAGTAGCTGAACTTTTTCAAAATAATGTATTCCTACTGCTGTCCTGAAACATACATTCCTGTTCATCATAGACATTGTGTTAAACATTGTCAACTTACAAGTGGAAATAAACTTTTTGTTATTTCTAATTTCTATTATCTTGAAATGTGTTAATCACTTTATTTTTGTAAGTGTATATCTCTAAGCTCCTAAAAACTTAGTGACATACAAATTTATTATAATATTTCCAACCTCAAATATTTTCTTTTATGTCTATAAAATAAATATATCCCTAGTTGACAGGACAGTATTTCTCAAAATAGAAAAAATGTTTAAACAATTACATCTGTGCTTTTTGATAAAACTCTGCTACAGAAATATATATATATATATATATATATATATATATATATATTTCTCTCTCTCTCTCTCTCGCTGTCTCTCTCTCTATATATATGTATCCAAAAGAATACCACGTAGAGAAACATAAGTGTGTAATGCTCAATTTTATAAAATATGATCACTTTTTAAATGCATGCCGTTATTTAACAGTAGAGATAGTTGCCAAATGTAAACCCTAAAATGACACAATTGATCCAAATGATCTCTTTGACAATGCCAAAGGTGCATAAATAATTTGCCTGACCAGAAATGCATTCAAGTGGGATCTTCATTATTTAATCAGAGTGAATGAGTTTGATTGAAGAAAAGTAAATTTCCAAAACAATATATTCATTTTTTTTCATTAAAAAGTCACCCAGAATTACAGAAAACCTTCTTAACATTAATATGGTCATTGAAGGGAAAAAGTAGCTAACAAAAAATCATGACTTTTCTCACTACTTCTAATGGTTAATGCCACTTTTCTTCTGTGCTTCCGGTCTTCTGAAGGAAGCCTCGTGGCTGGCACAACCTTGCTGATTTCATTTTCCTTTCTCAGCCTGTTTTCTGATAGCCCTGCATCCAGCCCACACAGGGATGCAGTGTCCGCCCTCTAGCCCACATTTCTTTTTCCCCCTCTCAGATCTTTGATCTCTGGATTATTTACAGTTGATGATTTCTTTCATGTTCAAAATAATTCTTCTGATCAGAGTGATTATAAACTAGCCATATTTTTTCAGTATCTTCCTTTTAATGAATATGTATATGTTTTTCATTAAGTGTTGCTAGTTTCAAAGAGAGTATTTCCCAGGAGGTATATTGGAAATAATCTTTCCAACAGAATGTAAGAAGACAGAATGAGTTTTAGAGATTGCAAAGAGCTGTGAAGAAAGACATCAGTAAAAGAAGCTTCTATCTTGAGAGCTGATTTGGAAAGCACTGTTAAATGTAAATTAAATAAGTATAATACATGCACAACAAGTTAATCAACCTGTGGTAGTAAACTGCTGTAGCAAGTAGCCTTGGTAGACCCTATAAATGAATCTTCTTTTGGCTATCCTAGTCTACTATTTTCTTTCAGCAGAAAATGAAATGCATACCTATATACATGCTAAAAATCACAGATGCTTCCAAGTATTGTAATTGAAATTTTTTTCTTCTTTGTTAGAAAATATACACATGCGCATGAATACACACACGGGGAAATCTCTGGCAAATAAAAATCCATCAGTCTTCTCATGCAAATATCAGAGATTTTAGATATCATTCTTCCTTCAAAGAAGACGAATCTTTTTTTTTCTCAAAAATTTTGGCCGTACAGGAAGTACATTTAAGGAAAAAATACAGTGGCCTAAAAAATAATATTAAAGCATATATATCATTTATCAAACATCATGTGAGAAGGCTTATCAACTTTCAATTTCAAAGGAGAAAACACTATTATTGTCTTGTGATATCTGTTGAATGTTCCCTGAAGAAATCCCATTTATGATACACTAACTTATTGTGCATTACTGAAACATACCATTTTAGGTTTTTTCTGTTTTTATATACAAAACCTTTAGATTTTTTTAGTCCTTTTGAAAACATGCAATGCTTTGATTGAACAAGTTGAAATATTAATATGGAAGATGAGATTTCCTTACTTCAAAAGTTGAAGGATAATGTTTTTGAAATACGTTTCTTGATTTTTTCAACCCACAATTTAAGTCACTAATACATTTTGTCAAAGCATTACCAAGCAAATGCATGAAAACTTCATCCAAACTGTGAAGATAGGAGGAAAATTCAATTTTTGCATGAAGTATTTGGATAAATGCTGGAAAACTTAATGTGGGTAAAGACCTTTGTATTTTATACAGATGAAGAAAATATTTGCAAAGAACACATTATATTTTTAAGCTCAAGGAAATAAATCTAATAAAATATTAATTACTCAGTCTTTTATATTTCCTTTAAATTATGAAATTACAAAATCAGCATTACCTAATTAAGGTCTATCTGTCAATTAATCACTTAGAGTAATTACTTGTCACTATGCTGAATTATGAATATCTTAGTGAAAGGACATTCTTTGAAATTTAGGATTTAAAAATACATCTTTTAATCATTTCACATTGTTCAGGCACACATCTAGGAGTCCTGTGCTGAACAGTTCTGTGGTTGGTGGGTCGATGAACTCCATGGGCACTGTACCTGAGGTACACATGATAAAGTACTCATACACCATCAGGTGATCGGCCAATGGCAATATGATTCATTGTTAATTTTTCACCTTGGTCAGACACCTTTAAAATTAGTGAAATCCTCTTTTATAATTAGTTTCTATGAATAGTAACTCTCTATTAGAGAACAGTTTTCCCTTGAAATATTACTTCACATTCATTAAAAAGCATTCTCCTATCCTTTCAAAGTCTAATACCTAGAACTACATTTGTTAAAAAGGAGTTTCTTTCATAATAGATATTTTCTGAATCTTTTTCCACTGCAAAGCAAATGCTGAACATTAAAGTTTGGTCTTCAGTGATTTATTTTCTATTTAAGTGAGTGCGTATAAATTATACATGCATAATTTTTGTATGTATAATAATTTCTTTTGCTAACTATTGCCCTTTTGTTGACATTTATTGTATTTAATCAACAATAAATAGTCAGTCTTTTATGACATTAATTTATTGTATAAAGAAATTACCTATAAAGTCATGCGGACAAGAAATAAAGTTAACATTGGTTATCTTTCCCTTTAAATTGTATTAGAATGTATGCTTTTTATTTATGGTACGCAAATTTAACTAGGTTATATAACTATTTTATTGAGAAGGGTTTTTTGTTTGCTTGTTTTTTGAAATTAGCAATTTTCCCCTTTGATTATAAAAATGTAATAATAATAAGAACATTTTGAAAAATAGGTAAGAATTTAAGCCCATCAACATAAAAGGTATTTTGTACATATACAGGTAGTTAAATGAGACAGATTTTTATAATCATACTGTCCAATTTTGTCTTCTGCCTTTTTATTATTTCATATATATTTTTATGTTTTATGATTGATGTTATTTTAATTTTAATAGTTGCCAACTATTTCACAAGATTAAAGCATTATAATCTAGTTTTCCATTTGTTTTTGGATAGCTAGGTTGTCTACATTTATTTAGTTATAACATCAGTGTTTTCATCATTCCATTATATCGATGAAGTAAATTCATGCAAGTATCTTTTGCCTGCTTAGTTAATGAATATGATCATTGAAAAGGTTTTCGGTATATCAATTCAAGCAATAAATAATCTATTTTCTCAAATTGGGTAGTTTGCTGGCTTTTAATATTTTGTTAGTTGTTTTGGTAATTTAGTAGTTTTAAGATTGTATCTCAAAACTGTTTAATATTTATATCCTTAATTACTGTCAATAGTAATCTTATTGGTAGCTGTTAGTTACCATTTACAATTCTATCTCTATTGTGTATGTTTTTGCTCATTTACATAATGAGATAAATATTTTATATGTATTAAAATAATCATTCCTACTAATTATGAAAATATATTCCCATACTATTAATTTTCTGTTTAATAAATTATCTTTCATATACACATCTGAAATATAATCATGTCAGTGCTTTTCTCTGATATTTTTCAATCTCTGTAAAGTTTCAAATGTTATTTCTTATGAAATAGTAAATACTATATTTTCCTTAGACTAGATTTTTTTGGATATTGCTATGTGGATTTTATTAATTCATTTTGATTCTATATTAATAATTATGAATGTATTTTAACTGTTTTTAGGCAGATAACATCATATTACATATTCACAAGAGTATTATTTCATTGAACTGAACATCTGATTTTGATTTTACTCTTCCTAAGCTGTTAAAATTAAGTATCCCTTTTTCTCTCCAGAACATGTTTTTCTTTTATACCAACCCAGAGACTAATTAACACTGAAAAAAGATTTTAAATTTTTAAATTAAATAGAATAACAAAATATAACTTAAATAGATGACTCTTGTATTTATATTCTACAGCTATTTACTCTAGCATTGCAAGAATAATGTAAATATATATAATTATGTGTCAAACTTGATTTAGGTAACATCAGCTAATAATTGAATATGTCTTAAGTCTGTCATCTTCTAAAGCTGATTTACCAACTTTTATCTAGGAATGTCTTTGCCTAGGATTTTGAATATTTTCAACCTACAAAGTCATTTATTATATATAAGGATAATTATTTTCTCAAATACAGATTTTGTGTATATTTCTCAATTATAATAATCTAAATAGTTATATATATAATATGTAGTTTTATATAACTGTATATTTAGTTATATACTATGTCTACTAATGATATATAAAATATATTTCAAATTCTTAATATTTGTTTTGTTTTACATTTTTACTTAACAGCATAAGTTGCTTTTTATAATGTCAAAATAATTCAATGTTTGTAAAGTATAAAATGTCATGGATATTAAAGCTACTGTAGGACAAAAAAGCCCTCAAATTTTATATGTTGATGATATTTTTATTTTTATTCCTGTAAACAGCCCATTAATTTTTTTCAGTACTTTATTCTTTACTGTCAATACAGAGTTTAGACTTGAGATTTGGGGAGTTCATTTACATAAATTGTACTTTGTAATTTTTAAGTTGGATTTTAGAATCCTTGATTGTAGAAAGATAATATTCTCTGCACCTGTGCAATAGAGGGGAATAGAGTAAATCAGAAAATTAAAAGGCAAGCATAAATTAATATGCAAGCTTTTGAAAGGTGATATGGAGTGCTCTTCTTAGGATTAGTGGTTATACTATGGAGAAGCAAAAGACTATTGAGAAAATATCCATATTACTCTAATAACATCATGTGTCACTGAGTTCTTTTGCCACCTTCCTGTCTTACACTACACCCTAGAAATGAGTGTATTGGGCTTGCCTTCCAGTTTTCTGTATCTCTAAGGAGGGGTTTGGTATAAAACCAGATGGCTAAAAGCTTTACTGCCAAAGCCAGACTCTGATCAGACACACCTAGGAAACCAAAATTGCCCACAACCACCCCACACCTATTAAATCAGGAACTTCCATTTGGAGATGGGCATTTGTTGTTCTGAAAGTATTCTTGGTGATATTTATGATCAGCCTGACTGAAGATCACTATTGGGAAAAAAGTATTAGTCATTTCTATTTTTAAATGCTTAAGCACATAGAGCCATGAAGGGAAATAATCAGCCCATTACCTTATCAATCAATTAATATTATTTATTGCATGCATCTTATTTATAAGTAATGTGCTTGAATGGAGAATTGGTTAAGCATAAAGAAAAGAAAATGGACAATGTAACTCTTGGTCCCAGATTCCGTAATGTACATGAGAGATAAACATGACATTTAAGTGGTAAAATCATGAGAGGCAAGAAAGGCTAAAATTAAATTCGTGGCATACACATACATACACACACAAGCACAAGTCAAACAGAAACTTGATAAAATCAGTGGATTGTATCAATGTCAGTTCCTTGTATAAACTCTCTGTATTATTTGTTACAATTGCATGTGATGTACAAATTATAAAAGTTTTAATTAAAGTTTGTTAATAATTGGTTTGGACATATATCATCAGAGGAGAATATGATTACTTCTAAATAATGTGTTCACAGAAACCATCCATGAGAACCTGGTAGTTTAGCTAGACTTTTCCAAATGAGCACTATTAGAGGGGAAGAAGTAAGATATTCTAGTCAGAAAGCAGGAAAAGCAGTCAGTGAGAAATGAGGTCAGTTTGGAGCAAAGAGAGAAGTCAAATTAGGTTGGAGCCTGGGTTCGGATATAAGAACAGTGTGTTTTAAGGCTATAAAAGAATGTCAAAGTCAGAAGTCACAAGTCAGAGTCAGAAGGCATCCAGGTGAGTTTAGATTTCATTACGTATGTGATGTGGAGCCAGTCATATTCAGCTAAAAGTTTTAGATTGTGACATAATTTTTTAATAATAGAGAGCGCATCAGCTATGCTTGAATTTTGTTGATTAATCTTGTAGTCCTTTGTATTCTAACCACATATAAATTCTTGCCTAATATTCCCCATCCCATCCCCAAATTTCTTATCCTATTTTACCAATCTAGATTATGTTTGCAATCACTTAAATTCATTAAACCATATAACAAACAACAACAGAATCCCTCAGTAATCACATTTGAGGAATATATGACAGAGTGAATATGGGGCCAGAACAGGTAGAAGGGAGAATGCACTGTCTTTCTCTATTCCCTAAATGAATCATTCATCAAAATGGATAAAATGTTGTCTAAATTACGCATATACTCCACCCTAGATTAGATGTAAGCATTCATCTTCCAGAAAAGTACTATTTCACTTCTATCAAGAGGAAAGGACTAGAATGCATGTTATTATTCTCCTTGCTAGGAAGAAAAAAATAAAAAGCTATCATAAGAAAAGATAGCATTTTGTGTAGGACATCCTCAATAGACATAAAAGTAAAATAAGAAAAATTTCTGTCACATAGGAAAATATTATAAAAACAATAACCTCTGATTAAAAAAACAGGTTATTTCAATTGCACTTAGAGAATATAAAATTTAGGAAATTAAAAGATGACCAACTTCTAATTTTACTTTAGAAGATATTAATAATCAAGATACAGTTTAAACATTCACAGTAAAAGAAATTTAGATATAATTATGTGGTATAGCAAAGAACTTTTAAATTTTTTGTTAAATTGTGATGCCATAAAAGTTAGATACTTCTAGTTCATAAGGCAAAAAAAATAATCTGCCTAAGAATTAGATTCAGTCCAGAGAACAAAAACCTAAGGGATAAGTAACTGAAGTAATAATAAAGACAAATTGAAAGTATAAAACAACTTTGCTATAAAGCATTATAACAAAGTTAATCCCAAATGTTCTAGTTTGATAATAAATGTAAATGGTTTATATTTAAATGTAAACCTCTGCATTAGAGGGCAAACAAACTCAGATTAGCTGAAAGCAAAGCAATAGCGAATAAATGCAATAGTTTTATGCATTGTGCAATGTATAAAAACAAGCTATTAAAAAATGAGTAAAATACAAACATAAAAACAAAAATAGTGTTTTAATATTAATAGCAAATAGAACACAAAGCAAGGCAAGTTGCTTTATATTTGATTGTGTATCACAAAAATAATATTACTTGATAAAGAGAAAAGTGGCTGTACTAATAATATTACATTGAAAATGAAAAAGGTAATTATAAATATAATTATACTTGGATAGATCTTGGAGACACCAAAAAACTACAGAGGGCTTTACAAAAATATAACAAATATAGAAGATTTTATTTTCAACTGTATTTAAGTATGTATCTTGAACAGAGAATATGTTCATTTTCAAACCCTGCCCAATGGACAATTAGAATTGATTATATTTTGAGAAAAATTTGTATTGTAATTAACTAGAAAACATCAGAAATCTTACATATCACATTCTATGACTACAATGCAATATAACCAATGCAACTTAAAAAAACAAAATCAAAAAACAAACTTGAAAATGCAAATCAAAACACCAAACTCCCCAACAATAAAAAAATTAATATAAATTATAATTAGAATACAATTAAAATAATCATAAGCATCACAGAATATCAAAATATATGAGATTTAGTTTTAAAACTATGATCAGAGAAAAAAGTATAGCCATAAATATTTTATGATCAATGCAAATTAACTGAATTCAATATGCAGTTTAGTTATATAAGTGAAAATATATAAAGATCAAAGGACATAGGAAGATAATCTACCATGTAACTACGTTTTGTGCTCAACTTTGACCCCTAGCTAATAGATAAGCTTATCTCATATTAGTATTTTTTTATTGTGACTATAGGGAGAGAAAGATAGTTATAAAAATAGATAAATAGATAAAAAGTCACATTGCATAGGCAATGTGGGACAATCATATTAATTAAGCCAATAGATTAATTTGCTACATAAAAGATTGAATTAATTGCCCCTTTTTGTTCCTCTTTCTTATTTTCTTAATTATCTTTTTCCTTCTTTTTTTTCATTTTGATACATATGTCATTACAAAAACGTGAAACTACTCTATGAATGTTTTACACAGTATGAAATGGCCCCTCCAAATCTCTAAAATAATTTTACAAGGTTTACTCATGAGGTGTGCCACTATCATTGCTACATCCTAGCTTTAGTAATTTCATGCATGAAATTTGCTATTCTTTAAGTTTCTTCATCATCTGGACCTTCATAAATTGCTTTGTGATACTGTACTTGGCTTTTCTAACATTTTGAAAGTCTGAGATTCATACCACTTAAAAAATATTATTCATTCACAAACAGTACCAGACAATGTGGGAAGTAAATTTAGAAGTAAAGAAAAAAGTTCATGTCCCTGACAACATGAAGTCAAAAATCTAGCTCGAATGTTGGCTAAACTTACCTGTTTATAAAAATTATGAAATATTTGTTAAAAATACAGATTTTATGAATATTCTTTACAGTCTCAATTGCAAGGTCTAGTAATATCTTACTAAGCTCATAAATCTTTGTTTTTAGTGAATGCACTAGTTGATATTTAGGATAAGACAAGTTTGAAAAATACTTGTCTATTGACCCTGTTTAGTCATTGAATACTTAGCCTAAAATATATAGGTCAGATATCTTGATATTCTATAAAACATATATTTGGCCTGCGTGGTCATAGGGTCAATATCCTAGGTAGAAAATCCCTTCTTTTTTCATAATCTATGGTATGCTGACTACATTGACAATGACTGAGTTGATAAATCTAGCCTCCAAGCACTTCACTAGGATGCTTCTCAGATTTCATCAGGAAACAAATGAGTTTTTATGTATCCTGGTGGTTTTGGGCAGAAATAAATATTTCCTGAATGAATTCCAGTTTAAAGGACTAGAATTTGGGAGAAAGAAATTTCCCTTATTTATTGTTTTTTAACTGATATGATTATTTTTGGAAAATTTATTATTTTCAATTTTATAAGGCCTGTATCTATAATCAGAATGACCAGGTGAAATAAAAATTATGATAGTAAATCTAATCCCAGGGCTTCATAACCCAAAATTCCGACTTACTAGGCCTGGTTTGGGGCTGGTTTGGGGAATAATGAAATACAGTAACTGGACACTCTCCAGTTGATTCTAACACATAGCCATGTATTGAAAACACTTCTAGATGACCATCAACTTTTCTATGGTTATTCTTCCTCTCCAGTTGATGAGAGGGTCCAGTCACATTATATAAGGAAAAACATTGCTTTAGAAAATGACTACACTGGTATAGGTGCAGATATTTTAAATCCACATCTTTCTGGTTAATACTTTTCATACATCAAAGAGAGAGAGAGAGAACGAGCGAGTGAGAAAGATAAATAATAGCTACAGTGAAAATTTAGGGGTAAGATAAGACCCACCATCTTTCTCTCAAACGCTTTCTCTACTCTGATTACAGAGCACTAATAGCTTTATAGCACTAGATTACTACTCCTGAAAATGGAGTACTTGTCTGGGCACAGTGGCTCTAGCCTGTAATCCCAGCACTTTGGAAGGCTGAGAGGCAGGAGGATCATTTGAGGCCAGGAGTTCCAGATAAGCCTGGGCAACATAGTTAGAGCCCTTCTCTACTATATATACGTATACATAGACACTTATATATGTCTCTATGAGAGAATGAATGCCAAAAACACACAGAGAACAAAATTAGAGGATTCATTCAAACGATTCAAAAGAGAGAAGAAAAATGAAGAGAAAGAAACTGTCAATGACATAATCTCAGAACATTTTCCAGGACAGAAGAAATGATCTTGCATTTTAAAGAAGCTAAGAATATACCCAGTAAAACAGGTATTTAAGAAATCTACCCCAAGGTATTTTTTTTCAAAACATGGGGAGAAACAGAAGATGACAAAGCCTTCACAAGGACAGTGACGGGAGTCTACAAATAAAAAACACAAGATATATGAAGGATAATTTCTCACTCTATCTATTTGCTTTTGATTAGCTCATCACACTGTACCTTTTAATTGAATTCTAATTATAATATATATTATATCACATGAAGAGTAAAATAAAGAAGCAAGGTCAAGTTAAATGAGGGATGGATATGTGGATGAGGCACTATAGATTTTTTTGCTTCACCTTTACTTTTCTCTAAGACACTCTGAATAATGCTTTTTCTTTCATCCTAAAATGAACTGATCATTTTAGGATTCAGTTTTCATTTGGGCTTTGAAGTTTCCTTTCTGACTTTAATTACCTTTGATGGTAGGGTAAGACTCTTTTGCACAGAAGAATTTATATACTTAAGTTGATATAGCATATATTAAAAAAAAAGAAAAAGTAAAAAAAAAATAAAAGTCTTTTGCTTGAAGTGGCATTTTAAATTGTAAGGACACATCACATTGGCACTCACTCAATAATAACCTTCAGCAGCTTTTAACTAAGCTGGTAAGTGAGTGTTTTTCTTTCCCACCCCCTCTTAGAGACAGCTGCCCCTTCCAGCTCATGTACTGTTTTTTGCTGATAGACTGATGTCTTTATTTAGGGAGTTATAAAGAATTGCTTCTAGTCATCAGCAGTTTCAAAAACTAGCCATTGAAGGGGGGATAAAGCCTATTCAGAAGATGGATGACAGCTTTTCATTTGAGGATCGTACAGAAGGATATTTCCTTCTATAAAAATAGATTCTGCAGTGTAGCTTGAGACTTACATTTTGCAAGGGATCGCCACTGGAAAAAATGACACTAAAAACTGAAGACTAAAAGAGACATTCTTTTCATGTAAAAAGGGCCACACATGACAAAATTGTTTCAAATCATGTTATGCTATTTAACACACAAAGTAATTTTTTAAAACATATGCTTACCATAGTAATAATTTTCTAGAGCATTAAACTTGAGGGAAAAAATGGCTAGGTTATCTTATTTAAATATACATTTTGTTTTCTAGGACATAATCCTGTTAAATGCCACTAAATAAAAAAATATATATAACCAGGTAAAAAGAAAGGAAAGCATGCCATAATTATGAATGCACAGAGCATTGCTTTATGTTACCTTTAAAAAGATGACAAAAATTCTTAATTAATCAGTAAAGCAGGAAGTACATAAATGTTGTCAAAAGTGATTATAATATTTTAAAACATAAATGATGTTTTCCTTTCTCATTTTTTTCCAGCAGTTGGTACCTCAAAATGTTGTCTCATTTTCTCTTAACATGAAAACCTGAAAGGAAGAGGAAGTTAAAAATTACTTGAGCAAGTAAATCAAATGCTTCAATCAAGTGCAGCATTTGATTTTGATACTGGACGCCACTCTCTCTTTCTCCAAATTTGTAGAAAGACACTGGCTTAGGATTTCCACTCTCTTTTTTTACAGTCCAAAAGCTGAAGATATTAATCTGATTTTCTTTTCTCTTTACCTATTACATCTACCACTAATAAAATGTTTTATTTTATGCTAAAGTTATTGTTATAAGTCCCCTTCTCTCTTAATATAAAGAGAGAGGGGGTGATTCTACCTCTTAAATACTTTAGAATAATTTAATTCAAAGGTCACTTTCCCTATATAGTGCTACGAACTTTGCCTATGAAATTAAATTGGCAAGAAATGTAATGTTATTTTTCAAAACCTCAACTTATTGTGCTATTTCATGTCTTCATTCCACTGGGTTTCTAAAAATTGTCCATTAATTCAGAATACTTCCAGGTCCAGCATTCTCACCTGCTTATATAGAGCTGTGTCTATAACCAGATAGCCTTTGTCAACCAAAGACTTGGGGTAGAATGAGTTTTCCTTGAACTTCATCACCTTTTTATGATGGCATTCAAGAAACACCCTTGTCTCTATTAGTCTTCAGGGTTGCTGAGATATTGTTCCTTGTTTCTGAGTGCAAGGACTTTCTGGGTCTAGCTCTCTTTTAACCCCTTTTGAACCACACAGAGGGTTACCTGAAATATCTTCAGGTTGCTTGAAGTTTCTTTACCATTCTTATAATACAGTGCTCTAGCATGCATAAGCGGAGTAGATACAACTCTGAGGACCTTGTGCCCACAGCCATTCCATGGCATGAGAGGCCTTTCTCTTGTCTTTTCAGGTTCTAACTAAAAAAGGGGCACTGATCCCCTCTACTATTAAGAAGAGCTCTAAAATGTTATGGAATTACCAAGCCAGGGCCCCTACTACAGAGAGAGGATGCTTTTTTTTTTCCTTTCATGACTGTCCTCTTTTTCCCTTTGGTCTAGGAAAAGTATTTCTAGTAATGGGGGCAAATTTGACTGATTAGGAAGACATTAAAACAATTTTAATACTATATCCAGACCTCAGATTTTGAAAGTCAAGTACCAAAAGTTTAATTTATTTAATTCTTCATTGAGTGGTAACATCTCCTTGAGAAATAAATGACTTATAGTTTAGCTTGTGGAATAGGAGAATGACATAGGGTTAAAGAAATATGGATGGAGGGATATTCACATCAGTAAATATATCAAAATATAACTCCACCAAATAATGCACATTTTTAATTGTATTAGTTTAACTGACCCCTACTTTTTAAATTTGGTTAAACACAATAGCTAGATATAGAACATAATAGTGTACAGAAATAAAATGATTTTGGATGGTAATTTGGTATTTACTCACTTTGATCATAGATAACCTACGAAATGTTAAAAAAAAAAAAAAAAAGAAAGAAAGAAAAGAAGTGCTTCACTTTCCACATCTGCAAAACGAAGGTAATAACACAAGCATGTTAACCAGGGTAATATTGAATTCTGAAGGAATAAATGTTAGAATACAGATAAAGAATTTTGGCAATATTAATTACTGGCAGCTATGTCACCTAGCACAACACACACATGTTTATAGGAGACTTTTGCATAGAGGTGTTAACAGATTGAAACTGCATATTCAACAGGATATTTTAGAATAGTCTATTAAGAAGATGATTTTTAGTGTAAAATTGTGCTATTTCTAATTACTGAGTGCCCTTAATCCTGTTATACTACATTATTGTTCTATACTTTAATAGCACTTAATACTGTGTACGTTTTTACTCCTCATTTGATAATTGTGTCTCTCACCCACCAGAATGGAGGCCACATAAACAAAGGGACTTTGTTATGTTCCTTCTTGTCCCCAGTTCCTGGTAGAGAATACATGATTAATATTTGCTTATTGAAAAAATAAATAAATTAACTTTATATTTGAAAAACTTAAACACCCAAAATACACAGAATATAAGAAATACATCTGTATGTGGTTGTTAATGAAATTCATATAATGGTGAACATGTAACATTTAAACTTTAAGAGAAAACAATCTAAGCTTGTTCAACTAATCACTTACCAGTTGTCACTAAGTAGAGGTTTGATAGAGCCAAACCTCTACCTAGTGCTAAGGGGCAGAAGCCTCTTTTCTGGTAGCTCTGAAACTTTATTTACCTGAGTGAATTCCTCCCACCACACCAACACAGTGAATTTTATACAGTGAATTCGAAAGCGTAGTAGTTTCACAAGTAGAAAACATCTGCACTCACTGGGTTAGAATCTCTACATTTTACTTTAGCCTACTGTTTTTTTTTTTTTTTTTTTTTTTTGAGACAGAGTCTTGCTCTGTGGCCCAGGCTGGAGTGCAGTGGCGAGATCTCGGCTCTCTGCAAGCTCCACCTCCCAGGTTCACGCCATTCTCCTGCCTCAGCCTCCCGAGTAACTGGGACTACAGGCGCCCGCCACCACGCCGGGCTAATTTTTTGTATTTTTCGTAGAGACGGGGTTTCACCATGTTAGCCAGGATGGTCTCGATCTCCTGACCTCGTGATCTGCCCACCTTGGGCTCCCAAAATGTTGGGATTACAGGCGTGAGCCACCACGCCCAGCCTAGCCTACTCTTTTAAGCATTAGCAAATAAGAACAGAAGAGTAGTGGAAATGTAGTCGATAAATGTAAATATATAATATTGCTGATTTTTGAGCAACTGCAGAAGATGGGTAACTCTATGTGACCTAAATGTTAGAATCCACATTTTAGGAAAGAGATAGATGACTTACAGGAAACTTGGGCTACATGTACCACAGTTACAGATCTGCACACAAGAAGGAAACAGAGTATCAAGAGATGAAACTATGAGCCAGAAATAGAATGCTTAAGTGGAATCTTAAGAAAGATGGATATTATATATGAGATTCAACAGGCAAAGACAGAATGGAGGCACCCAGACACAAACAAGAATGCCATGAAGTACAGTCAGGATCATTCTGGGAGTGTTTGAAGAATTGAACAATAGTATGCTATTAAATGGCTCGTGGAAGAAAACAAAAACACCATTTGTAGCACACCAATTTCCATGATATTAATATAACCACCAAGCCCCATGTCAAGGTAAGAATGTTATTAGTTAGATCATGAAGTTCCTGAAAATTTGTCATCTAGCTCTTGAAAACTGCTCCTAGCAGGACAACACACACACTGTGGAAATAATCACATTTAGGTGAACATGTGGTATGAGGGTCTGGCTAGAAATATAAGTAGAGAAATACTGAACTTTAGCCTAATGAATTCAGACTAAAGAATTGCTCTTTATTCTGTAGGAAATAATGACCTGTAGTAGGCTTTGAGTGGTGTCATGTGTTCAGAACAGACTGTTTACAGACTTTATAATGTTAGCATGAGGTTAATGAATTATAAACTAAAAAGCTAAAATAGAGCCATATATTTCAGATTGCCAGAGGAAGTACACACTGAATGTATAAATGTATTTAATGGGAAATAAATTCCTTTCATCATTTTCCTTTTCCCTCTAGTGATATCTCTTTGAAATAAGATCTTGTATTAAAATAGATATTTTACTCCATTCCCTTACTTTCCTCTAACTGTACATTAAACTTGCTTTTTAAAGAGACTATACTTGCCTTAGCATAATGTAATTCTCCTATTTTAGAAAAAAAGAGAAACATTAAAGTGTTATTTTGTTTGACTCTATATCTATCAATAAACTCATTTTTAGATAACAGTTCTGGTTAGTTTTGTTATGTTTTTTAGAACCTAACCATCCCTGAACTTGTATAGAATCTCTGGGTGGTAGGAGTAGGAAGGGAAAAACACACACACACACACACACCACACACACACACACACACACACACACACACACACACACACACACACACATCAGAGGCAACTATAGAAAAGAAGAAAAGATAAGCAACAGAGACATCCTTCTCCAGGGAGTTGTTTGTGTTTTCCATAAGGAAGCCCATTTCTTAACCTCCAAGATGTGAAAATCCCTGTTGACAAATGCTGGCTGTTTGATATTCATAATTATTTACATTCTGCTTCTTATTTGTCCCAGATTAATGTGAACTCTTTAGACTTTGAGAGCTAAAGTAAATTTTGGTACCTTTCAGGAATTTTCTTGGAATCTATATGCTCTGACATATGACAGGTCTGAAATCTATCTTCTTAATAACTTTAATAGTCTTACTCAGAATTTAAGCAACTCTTTCATTAAAATGTTCAGCTCATCAAGTCATGATAAGTAATTTAAAAACTCCTTCACTTCTTTCCTCGATGAAAGGCATGCAGAGCATAATTGGGTGCTATTGTGGTAGACAGCATTTGGTGTGATTATTCTTGACACTTTGCTTATCACAGTACGATCTTCAGATAAATAAAATAACAACTCACTTCCCTTCACAACAAAGAATATACTCAGAGATAACAATGATTGGGGAATTTTGAAAACTCTACTAGATTCATATGTTAATGAACAGCTGTGATGTTTCCCAGACACATTACTAAAGCGAAGACAATTCCCAGGTTTCCGTATAATCTAAAACTTTTATGAAAACTCAAACTAAGAGTTGAAAGCAAAAATGTCAGTAGTTTCCACAATAAGTTCATACACCTTTGTGGTTCCAAGTTGTCACTCTGCTTGGTTGAGGAAGCCCAAATGTTGCAACAATCTTTGTATTGATCTATTTTACATTCTTTTACTTTAGAAAAGAAGTCTCCATATACACAGCACCGTTTCATTTGCTGTAATGGTTTGTTGTACTGAAACATCAAAAGCGAAAATGAAGGTACATCAGGAAAAAAAGAATAGTGTTTAAAATAACAATAATGTTGTCCATGTACTTTTAAATTCAGTAGGCCATGTATTCATTCACTCCCTCCATGCAGCAAGGAATTCTTACTATGTAAGGCCACTGTAATTAGTAAACAGATACAAAGATGATTAAGGGCCCTCAAAGAGCTCTCAGACACCTATTTTCAAAAATATATTCCCTGCCATCACAGATTTTATATGTTAGTTGGGGAGACAATACATATGCAGGCGAAATGTAAAATAACCACAAAAATTTTGAAATTAGATACATTCTTGTATTTTCTTCTGTGACTAAGTCCTCTTGGGAATAAGACTAAGGATTTGTGATTGCCACCTGCCCTCTTTTTAGTATGAATTAGCATAAACAAGTGATTCAGAAACAAATATTACTGCTTTTATATCAGGCTAGGATATGTTCCCCTTGATTCACTTCAACTTGGTCTCACTGTTAATATGGTTTGTAAAGATTCATTCACTCTGACATTCACACTGATAGGAGGAGTGCAGTGAAAGGCAGTTCAAATATTTCTCATTGTCTGTTCAGTCTGCTGTGCCATGAATATATGAATGCGTCCAAATGATGTTAATCAAGCCTACCAAATAGCCGGTGCCATGAGAAACAGAACTCTTTCTCGAGATTTACATACATCCACTACTATTGGATTTGGAAAAAAAAAGAAGATATTTCAAAAAGAGGTATAAATCTATAAGTTTATAGTCATTGCAGTTTGTTCCAGGTCTAGAGACCTGAAATATTTATCAACAAACCACAATTACAGGTTAGTCATGGTATAACTTTGCCACGTAACTTAGGCATCGTTTTAGTTGTATCTTTTATTAGTTTTTAAGAATAAGTGTTACCTATTCCATACTGTCTTTGCATTGAAGGCAGGGATGGTTATGGATATACTACCTTCTGCAGAGTCAAATACAAATGGTGTGAATTGTGTGTTCCCACTTACATGTGGATCTTTTTCAAGGTATGCATTAAATTTTTTTTGAAGATTTACAACAATTTTAAAAAAACTCACAGATAAACTGTGAGCCTAGAAATATAAAAAAAAAAAAAACCAAGAAAAAATTAGGTATGGCATGAATGCATGACATCTATGTAGATACTAGTTTATTTTATTATTTGCTACCAAAAATATGCACACATTTATTATAAAAAGTTAAGATATATGAAAACTTACACACACACACTTAGAGATCAAACATGGCACAATTCACAGTTGAAAGCAGTGTAAACAAATGTAAAGATGCACTATTAAATCATAACTGTATAAAATTCACTGTAGGCCATGCTGTGCTACAGTAATAATTTCATGGCCACCTCCTGCTGCTATTGTGGTGAGTTCAAGTGTTGCAAGTGCCTGCTTAAAAGGCCTTGCGATGTTAATCACATCTGCATGACCAATTCTTCTCCCCAGTAAATGCGTATTGCTGTAAAAATTGATATTTTGTGATTCTTGTGTATTTTTAATCATTTTCAGTGCAACACCATAGACCTTGAATAACATCATGGGACCCACATGAAGTGCCACTAGTGATGCTGGAAGTGCTCCCAAGATATAGAGAAAATTCATGACTTACAAGAAATAGTTGAATTGCTTGACCTGTATCATGGATTAAGATCTGCATCTGTGGTTACCCACAATTTCAAGATAAATAAGTGCAGTGTAAGGACTATCATAAAAAAAGAAAAGAATTTTGTAAAGCCATCACTGCAGCTATGCCATCAGGCATGAAAACCTTGCACTTTTTGTAAAACTCCTTTTTATCTCATAGTGAAAATGCAGCTTTTATGTGGGTGAAGGATTGCTATAAGAAAGGCACACCTATAGACGTTAATATATTTTGAGAAAAAGTGAAGTTATTTTATGACAATTTAAAGCAAAAGGAAGGTGAAGGGTCTAAAGCTGGATAATTTAATGCCAGCAAAGGAATCTTTGATAATTTTAGAAAGAGATTTGGCTTAAAAAATAACAAGATAATAGAAGGAGATTCTGCTGACCAAGAGACATCAGGCAAATTCCCAGTCACCATTAAGAAAATCATTGAAGAGAAAAAAACAGCCACCTGAACAGGTTTTTAATGCAGATAAAAGTGTCCTATTCTGGAACAACAACAACAAAAAAGCCTTAAATGACATTTATTAGAAAGGAAGAGAAATGGATTTAAGGCAGGAAAGAAGAGGCAAACTCTACTGTTTTGTACAAATGCAATTGGGTTTATGACCAGGGCTGCTCTTATCTCTGATGCTGCTAACCCCCAAGCCTTGCAGGAAAAAATAAACACCACCATCCAGTCTTTTGGTTGTAAAAGAAAGCCTAGACAATGAGAACCTTTTATCTAGATTGTTTCCATCAAATGATTTGTCCCTGTGGTCAGAAAGTACCTTGTCAATAAGAAACTACTTTTTAATATTTTTTTATATTGAACAATACCCCGGGCCCGGAATCTTATGACTTTAACAACAAAGACATCAAAGTAATCTGCTTGCCCTCAAACACAATTCCTCTAATAATTATTCAGCCTTTCCATCAGGGGTTATAAGGGTCATTAAGGCTCACTACACACCATACTCTATGGAAAAGATCATCAGTGCTATGGAAAAGAACCCTGATAGAAAGAGCATATTATGAAGATGCCATTATTGTTATAGAAAAAGTCATGAAAGCCAGCAAGCCCTAAACAATAAATTCCTGCTGGAGAAAGCTCTGTCCAGCTGTTGTGCAGATTTCACAAGATTTATAACAAAGCCAATCGAAGAAATCATGAAAAAGGTTGTGGATATAGCAAACAAACAAACAAAATATGGGGTGGGGGAAGGATTTCAAGATATGAATCTTAGAGAAATTTAAAAGCTAATAGACACCAGAGAAATGAACAGAAGACACCTTGTGGAGATGAGTGATTTTGAACCAATTCCAGACAATGAGGAAGAAGATGTAGACGCAGTGCCAGAAAACAAATGACATTAGACAATCTGGCAGAAGGGTTCTGATTATTCAGAACTGTTTGTGACTTCTTTCACAACATGGATCCTTCTATGATATGGGCACTAAAACTAAAGCAAATTGGTTCTGTAAACATTTTTAGATAAATGGAAAAAGAAAAAAGTCCTATGATATGGGCCCTGAAATTAAAGCAAATGATGGAGATCGGTACTGTAAACATTTTTAGATAAATGAAAAAGGAAAAAAGCCGACAGGAATTACAATGCCTTTCATAAAGTTACATCTAGTGTGTCGGCCTCCCCTGCCTCACCTTCCACATCCTCCATCTCCTAAACCTCTTCTGCCTCTGCCACCCGTGAGATAGCAAGACCTACTCTTCCTCCTCCTCAGCTTACTCAAAGTGAAGATTATGAGAATGAAGAACTTTATAATGATCTACTTCCACTTAATAAATAGTACATATATTTTTCTTATGGTTTTCTTCATAGCACATCTTTTCTCTGTATTGCTTTATTGTAAGAATGCAGCATATAGTACATATAACATAAAATATCTGTTAATTGACTATGTGTTGATAAGACTTTAATCAACAGAAGGATATTAATACTTAAGTTTTGGGGGAGTCAAAAGTTATATGCGTTTTATTTTTTTCTGTATGGGAGTGGGGTTTGTGCCCCTAACCCTTAACCATTATTCAAAGGTCAACTGTAGTCTTAGTAAATATTTGCACCGGCTTAATTTCATGGTAGAAGTGTTTTTAACGATTTCTTCTGTTGAATATTACTTAGTCAGTTGCTTCTCCCTTCTTTCTTCACTTTCAACTCATCCATTTCCACTGATGGCTTTTCTAAAACTGTAAAAATGCTAAAAATTATTCCATATTAAAGAATTTTGTTTCCAGGGAGACCTTGATTTTGGTCTCTCCAGCTCTTGTGCACATGCATACACACACATGCACATACATGCTCCTTTTATGTTTTTCTCTCTGCCCAAAATCAGGGTCTCTAAGAAATAGCTCACTTGTTCACTGAATGAATACTTCATGGAATCAAATGTGGCAAAATCTCGAATGGTATTCTAATTACCTAATTCAGTATGCTCCTTTTAATTCTTTAATTTGACCCTGTGTCATCTGAATATGTTGGTCATTTCTTGAAATCAATGTATGTGAGAAATTTATTCCATTCTAATTATCTTCTTTCCTCTTATTCTTTCTATATTATTATCTTTACTAATCCATTATTTGCCAATGTCTTAATCTGGTATCTCCCAGATGTAATCCTTGCCCTTCCCCTTGGCAGTAGCCTTCATTCAAGTGACTTCAACCATCACCAGCAGATCTAAATCTAAAATGCATATCAAAATACAGGGAATTTTTTTCCAAATACAATCTTGCATCTCTCTGCTAGGTCAATAATTTTGACTGGGGCTATTTTTTTCTGGGGAAAAAAAAGCCTAAGTGATTTTAATATATTTTCCTTTGGGAGAAGCCCTGATATATATGATTAATTCTTTAAGCTCTAAACCAAAAGGTTTCATTGCCTGCTGGGTATATTCACTCTAAGGACCCATAGATAGTTCGAAGTTATATTTATGTAAAGCAGAAATCATCATCACCTCAAATACAAAGCTATTGAATCTTCTATATTTCCTAACTCTGTCATTATCCATACAATAACTCAAATCAGAAACTTGGAGGTGTAATTGGCTCCTTCCTACTTCTCATCAGATCTTGTGAATTCTATCATCTTAACAAATTTCATATGTATTCCTTTACATTCCTACTGCTACTTTTTTTTTTTACAATTTTCATTTTTTGTGAATGTCATTTATTCTCACTTTACTTTTACAGACACACCACTTTCAGTATTCAAGTCAAACTCAATCTCCCAAGACTTCCCTCTTGACTGTCCCATATACATCATACACTGCCCTCTTTTCCCTAAAGTCATATTATTATCTTTGAATCTCAGTATATTCTTTATGTTTCTACCATTTTATCTGAAATTCTTCAAATATGTATTGAATATCTCTTTTTAATAAACTCGATGTGCCTTGATGCAAGTCATTATTAGCTTTTGGGATTTCCATTAATTAACAGAATTTCTGATGCCTATAGAGCCGTAAACAAGTGTTTGTTATGTCTAGTTGTGCATACATTTGTACGTGTGTGTTTAATATTCACATGGATGTGACTAAAGATCTAATGTCTTTACAATGCATCATTTTATACATTATTTATAGCTTTATACATATCTTTAAAAGAGATTTGGTGTTGAATAGGAATATTTTTATATATATTTACTCTCTGAGGTTGAGGTGTTATTTTCAGTTAATATATGAACATCAAAGTGTAAAGCAAACTTACAACTTATTCAGTGTAACATAGTAAATCATTATTAAAGTTAGAAAGATGTCTATAAGGCTTTATATCTAGTGCTATTTCAAATTAAATAATAAGGTCGCAAATATTAGAAATACCAAAACATTTGCCACCGATCTAACTGTGAGATTCAGGATAATTTTCAAAGGCTCCAGTAAGGTTGTGAGTGCCTCCATTTATATTCTGCTTGAGTATTTAAAACCATTTAAAACCACCTGTTTGTGCATTCAGTTTCTCATGTTGCACACATAAATGTGAGTTTTTGCAAGCAAAAACAGATGCATTCCTAAAATGTGTCAGCACATTTTCAAAAGCCTACTGAAAATGTGTCCTCATATGTCTGCAGACTTTGTTATAACTTACATCAGTGAGCTGTATAAATTGGTTTCTTGAATATCCATTAATGCAAATTACCAGGCCAGGAAAACATCACACAAAGATCTGTAAAATCTCACAAAATATAACATCTTTCCTAGGAAGGAGATAAAAAGAACAAAGTTATGTTAGCATTTTTTATCCTAAGGTAATCTTGGAAGTAAATGTGGCTTACCCACAAATTCACCAGCTGACGTTGGATAAGGAAAAAAAAAATATATATATATATATACACTTTCATTGTTAAAAAAGTATGGAAAATATCTTTCCATTAGTCTTATTATAAATAAACAAATTCAGGAAAAAAAAGTGGAAGATTGGGATATGGAAGGATGATTAGTTCTTTGGGGCAAAACATCTCTTAGAATGTATTGCAGAAGTTTCATTTATGATAGAGAAAATGAAAAGCAAGGATAGTCAAGCTGTAAGTACCATTTGTCTTTCCTTAGTAAGTAGTTCTCATACAAGGTCTTTTTGGTCTAAACCTACCTAAATTGCTACTAGTACTAGCAGGGAAAAAAGGTTACCAATTCCTACAAAATTCACTAATAGATAAACAAGATGGGTTTGACTGTGCCTTTCAATCTCCAGTGGCAAGCAGGAGCATACCACTTGCCTCACTCTTGTCTCTGAATCCTTGCTCTACCAAATTCCTGAAGAAAATTATCACATCTCTCTTTTTTCTTCCATATTTTTGTGTTATTTTCTACTGCATCTTTACATTCTATCTTTAAACAGATGCAGTATCATATGAGTTCTTTTTATTTTTTTCCAATTATAATATCTGAGATGGTTATTTTTATTTTTTTTCAAATGTAGTATCTGAGATGGTTAATTTTATCTGTAATCTCAGCTTGGCTACAGGATGCACAGATATTTGATTAACATTATTTCTGGGTGTATCTATGAGAGTGATTCTAGATGGCATTAATATTGGAATAGGTAGATAAAATAAATTAGATCGTCTTCCCCATTGTGGATGGGCCTCTTTCAATCCATTGAAGGGCTGAATAGCATCAAAAAGCTGAGTAAGAATTATCCTTCTATATCTGACAATTTTTTTGCTGGGACATTGGTCTTCTCCTACCTTCAAACTCAGACTTGAGCTGGAACTTACAATGGCCGTTCTGGGTCTCTAGCTTGTGAACTGAAATCTGGGGACTTACCAGCCTACATAATTGTAAGTCAGTTTTTTTTTTAATAATAATTTCTGTTAAACTATTAAGAGAGAGATTAGACAGACAGATAGATAAAGATAGATTCTATTGCTTCTAATTCTATTTTACTAAAGATTTTGGTACTAAAAAGTGGTTCTAGAGAAACAGAATGTTAAATCTGTATTTGCTTAATTGATTCTGGGGTTTGTGAATTGGCTATTTAACTAGATTTAAAAATACTGACTCATGGTGGCTCACGCCTGTAATCCCAGCACTTTGGGAGGCCGAAGCAGGTGGATCACGAGGTCAGGAGATCGAGACCATCCTGGCTAACACGGTGAAACCCCGTCTCTACTAAAAATACAAAAAATTAGCTGGGCGTGGTGGCGGGTGCCTGTAGTCCCAGCCACTTGGGAGGCTGAGGCAGGAGAAGGGTGTGCACCCAGGAGGCAGAGCTTGCAGTGAGCTGAGATCGCACCACTGCACTCCAGCCTGGGTGACAGAGCAACACTCTGTCTCAAAGAAAAAAAAAAAAAACTGATTCCTCATTTTCTAGTAGAGTACTGATAGTCTATAGTATAATATGGCAATAAAGATATACCAAGTATCTCTATTGTATACTCCTAATCAACCACTTGGAAGAAGAAAGGAACTGGGTCACTGGATATATGACACTTTCAAACATTTTTAGGAAATTGACAAATATAATGAGCTTGGCTGGCCTCTCTTAATGTTGCTGGACAAAGTGGTAAAATAAAAAGATGAGCTCAGGAATTTCAATTTCCAGCTCAAGTGCTGCATGAATAACCTAAAACCTTCTATGTGTGCTCTGAAGGAGACCCCTCTCTCCTGCAGGCACACAATCTCATTCTGTAACTGGCTGAATTTCAAGCTGAAGTTCCAGCATTGCAGAGTGTCTACTATTGAAGTGAGGGCATTCAATGGAAAAAAACAAGATCTTGTAAGTAGAAATGGGGATGTGTGGGAAGATCTTGATAAAGCAGTGGACACTGAACCCCTAAATTCTAATGACTCTTTTTCCCTCCAGTGGAAAATGCCTCTCTACCTACCCACTCTCAGTGATAGAAGCTTCCTCTCCACCCCAACCTAAGAGGATTAACCACTGCATTGCCTGAGGGAACTATAACAGCCTTCCCTGAGGAAGCTGCCATGCAAGACAACGCTGATTTTCTTCAGAATCCACTCACACTAACCTTTATTTCTTCTAGACTTATAGGTAGACTCAAGTCCCATCAGGGTCCTGAAACTGAGGTAAAATGTGTGAACCATGAAAAGGTGCACTACACACCAAATTACTTGAATTTTCTTATTTATAGAGCAGAAATCTGGGGAACATGTATGTGAATGAATGTTATGGGCTTGGGCTATTGGTGGAAGGAAAATCAAATTTGAATGGAATGAACTTATTGATATGGTCTCACTAAGCAGATATTCTGCATTTAATGTGGAAGCTCAGGGATTTAAAAAGGTTTCTAACAATTTGTTTGGTTGATTGGCTGAAGTATAGACCAAAAGATGGTCTGCAGCAAATGAACTGGCAATGCTGGACTGCATTGGTTTAGTGTAGAGAAAAGAATTCAAGAAGATTAGAATGTTAGAGCAGATGTTTCATTTAAGACTTACTCACCCACACTAGGGTGGGTCCATACCTAAGGTCCATACTGTTCACCATGACTGGAAGAAATACATTTGTGAGGGAAGACTAGACATCCTTGAAGAGCTCTATTATTGTTCTTCTCTTTAGTTCAGGTCTTACCGTGATTGCAGTCACTGAACTGGAAAATCTAAATGCAATGGGAGTAATTGAATCCTGTGGTGTAGGGAGCAAGTAGCGGAACTTACCCACCAAAGGCAAGGTGGGCGTGGTTAGTGTAATGGACAGCAGAGTCAAAGCACAGTCAGAATAGCCTGACTCCTGCAGCATACGGCATTGCCTAGTTGATTAAGATGTAATAGAAAAGAAAAGGGTAAGAACCTTAGTAAATTCTCACTTGATCTGTATAAGAAGTTTTATGTCTAGTGAACAAAGTCTACACCAAATAATAAAAACAGAGAGTCTCAGCCCCACATTCAATTTCCAGACTTGGAACAGTTTTAGAGCCTGGCTCCCCTTAAAAAAGAACGCTCGTATGCTCTAAAAAATGTATAATGTCAATCTTCCCTCCAAATTCCCCTAAAAGAGTCTATGGCCTTTAACCAGAATAACTGTGCATTGGGAAAAGGAAATGATTCAGACCCTTTTCAGCCTACTTAATATTCTGAACTGGTACTAATTCTAGGAGGCCCAAAATGTCACTGTGATCCACCAATCAGAATGAGGGCTTATAGAGGTCAAGTGATCAATGGAATTTTAGCTCAAGTTCATCTTATATTTGACTCAGTGGGTTCCCAGACTCATCCTGTGTTTTTTCCCCTGGTTCCATAATGGATAATTGAAATAGATATCCTCAGTAACTGGCACAATCCCTTGAATTATGAAGTGAGGGCTTTATGGTGGGAAAGAACAAGTGCCGCACTTAAAACAAACAAACAAACAAACAGGAAACCAAAAGAAATACTGCATTCCTGGAGAAATTGCAGAGATTAGTGCCACCATCAAAAACTTGAAAATGCAGGGGTGATGATTCCCATCATATCCATTGAACTCACTTATTTGTATTTGGCCTGTAAAGTAGGTGGATCTTAGAGAATGACAGTAGAATATAATAAGCTTAACTAGGCAGTGACTTCAATTGCAGCCACTGTACCAGATATGATTTTATCGTTTAAGCAAATTAACACACCTCTAAGTACATGGTATGGTGCTATTGATCAGGCAAAGATTTTTCTTTATACCTGTTAGTAAATACCACCAGAAGCAATTTCCTTTCAGCTGCAAGGCCAACAATACACCTGTCCAGTCCTACTTCAAAGATATAGCAACTTTCAAGTCTTATGTCATAATTTAGTTCACAGAGATCTTGATTACCTTTCCCTTCCACAAGATATCACACTGATTCCTTATAATGATATTCTGCTGGTTCGGACCTAGTGAGCAAGAAGAAATAACATCTCTAGACTTATTGGTGAGACATTTGCATGTCAGAGAGTGAGAAAATATTTTGCCTGATAAATTCAACAAAAATTTAGGGGATTTCTATGTCAGTAAAATTTCTAGGGATCCAGTGGTGATACATCAGAATCAAGATATGTTTTCTTGTAGGCTTATTTAAAACAGCTCCTTTTTTGCATCTTCTTTTCATCAGGTTGTCTTTAGATTTTTCATCCTTGTTCCAAAACATCTTTGGGTCTTTCTTTTGGGGTATAACTTGGTATGTCAAGACACAACCAACAAAGAGGCACAGCATCTAATGGTCCTTTCTAGATTTTGGAGACAATATATTCTCATTTTGGTGTGTTACTCAGGCCCATTTACCAACTGACTTGAAAAGCTGGTTGTTTTGAGTGGGGCCCAGAACAAGAGAAGGCTCTGCAATGGGTCCAGGCTTCTGTGTGAACTCCTCTGCTTCTTGGGTCATATTATCTAATAGATTCAATGGTGCTTGAAATGTCAGTGGGAAATAGGGATGCTGTTTGTAGCCTTTAGCAGACTCATATATTTGTATCACGGGACCTTTGAATTTTGGAGCAAAGCCCCACCATCCTCTATGAATAACTACCCTCCTTTTGAGAAACAGCTCTTGTCTACTACTAAGCCTTAGTAGAAGGTGAACACTTAACCAGGGCCACTAAGTTACTAGATGACCTTAGCTGCCTACCACCAAGTTTTGACTTACCAAGCCAAAAAGTTGAGCATGCATAATAGCACTGCTCTATCATCAAGGGAAAGTGGTATATACATGATCTGTCCTGAGCAAGTCCTAAAGGCACAAGTAGGTTAGATGAAGAAGGCCCAGATACTCATGATTCCCACTTCTGATACACAGCCTTTTCTCTCCTAGTGTGCATCTATGGCCTCAAGAGGAGTTCCCTATGATCAGTTGACAGAGGAAAAGAAGTCAGGCCAGATGGTTCTGCAAGGCATACAGACGTCGCTCAAAAACAGACAGCTGCAACACTACAGCCCTTCTCTGTGACACCCCTGAAGGAGAGTGGCAAAGGGAAATTCTCCCAGTGGGCAGAACTTCAAGCACTGCATCTGGTTGTCCACTTCGCTTCAAAGGAGAAATGGCCAGATACAGGATTATATACCCTCTTGAGGTTGGGGGTGGGGGTGGGGGTGGAGAGTCTCTCTTCTCAAACTTCTGTACTATTGGGCTATAACTAAAATTGACAATAAGTTCATAAAATATTTATTGAATATAATCATTTAATTAATTTAGCTCAAATTTCCTTTTATTTTCTGACTTCAATGAGTAGTTTTACCACTTTGGTCTATAACATTCTTTTATACATTTTAAATGTTAAATTCTATTAATAATTTATTATTGTTTCAGTTTATTCTAGAAATCACAGAGGCCTACAGTTTATAAATGTTTACTCACTGTACTAGCTTGATTATCACAGAGTAATAATTCTTAAAATGGTACCTACAGCAGTACCTGCAAACTTGTTAGAAATACAGATTCTTAGGGTCCCTTGCAGACCTACTGAATCAGCAATCTGTGTTTTAAGAAGCCCTTCTGGCCTGGCATGGTGGCTCACACCTGTAATCCCAGCACTTTGGGAAGCCAAGGCAAGGTGGGCAGATCACCTGAGGTCAGGAGTTCAAGACCAGCTTGGCCAACATGGCAAAACCTGGTCTCTACTAAAAATATAAAAGTTAGCGGGGAGTGGTGGTCTCTGCCTGTAATCCCAGCTACCCAGTAGGCCGAAGCAGGAAAGTTGCTTAAATCTGGGGACAGAGGTTGCAATGAGCCGAGATAGGGCCCACTGCACTCCAGCCTGAGACTCCATCTCAAGAAAAAAAGAAGCCCTCCTGGAGATTCATTCTGGTGCAGACAAAACTTTGAGAACAAGTTCCCTAGACACACTGATTGCTATGGGAATTGTTTATTGACAGAATGTTCTGAAGTGAAACCTGTGGAGAAGTGAGGAAGAGCAGCATGGCAAACATGTGAATTCAGCTCAAGTCTAGCCACAATCTGATTTTCTGCTGCATCAATGAATCAAAATTTGAGGCAAAGGAATAGGACTCTTGTTATTCCTAAATTACTATACTGCTCCCAGAGTGAAGGCGTGCCCTTCAGGTATTTCTGCATAAGATAGCTCTAGTATACCCAAGACAATTCCCAGAATGGTGCTGTCATGAGCTGTTAGCTTCCAGCTCTCATAGCAGTTTGGCTTAGATTCATCACTCAGGGATAGCATAAGAAAGACATGAGTGGGGCACAAAACTGTCCTTTACACATTTTATCTGAAATTTTTCTCAGAGGGAGAGGGAGAGAATTTGGTTTTTATGCATATTTTCCTTTGGAAAACAATAAAAGAACATTTCATGCACAGACAGTAAAATTCAGAGATAAAAATTTCCAGTGCCTTAGAGATAAGTTTAATTAGTCCTTCAATCAGGTGAGTAATTTGCAGCCTTTCTCAACATTTTCTTTAATTCTTGCCAATCCATTTTATCCTGAGTCTTAAAACCAAAAGGTTTTTAATTTTTTAATTTAAAATATTTTTATGAAATGACCTCTTGACCACATAATGAATCTATCCTCTTATCTATTAATTCCTTCAAATCCTGGGTATTTTAAATTGCTCAAACCCTATTTGGTCTTGAAGATTATACTGTTACTCATGATTTTACTCCTAAAAGTTGATAGTATGTTCACTGTAGAGTCATGAATTAAGCCATAATCCTAAATAAATTGCTCAATAATAATTTAAGCTTCTGAAGGTTTGATTAGGAATGCTAGCGGATTATAAAAAGAATGCTGATGACCAAGTATCTGGGGACAAAAAGCAATGTCTTCAAACTCTTTTTTGAAGCATCTATGTTTGGAAATTAATATTAAATGTTTTTCAGCACATTCCCTTTAGAAAGAAAATGAAAATACTAAAATTATTTCCCAATAACGATTTAGGCACCATTTAAATAATTTTACAAATAAGCATAGGCATATTGCAGTGCCTTGTATTAATTTTTAAAACATCTCTCAAAGAGTTAAAGGACATTTCTTAATTTGAAGTTAGTTTCTATTGATGTAGAGAACCAGAAATTATATAATTCTTCTCCTATATTTGTAGGTCCATGCCCCTCCCTTACCCCCTTCTAAAATAGCTACATTGAGTCTCTGTTTTAAAAATGTGTATATATATATATAGACTTGTTTTTTTCCATAGTCGGAATCAAGATGTATTTTCTTGTAGGCGTATTTCAAAGGCCTCCTTTTTTTGCATCTCTGTCTTTTCATCATGTTTTCTTCAGGTTTTTCATCCTTGTTCTAAAACTTTCCTTGCCTCTGTCTTTTGAGATATAACTTGAGGAAGATTGAAGTAAAATTATTTTAGACATAATTCTGTCTCTTTACTTCCTTGATTTCTCTCAATATCATTTGTCTTTTTACCATAAAGTGTAGCCATAGAGTTTTCCTGCGTTGTTGCTCATTTTTGCCACTCTTTCTTTTTTTCCCAAATCCATGTTAGACTCCTTGTTCCCCTGTTTGAGGTGGTATACAGGCTTGCTTTGACCACGTGCATTGGAAAGAGAAAATTAACTTAAAACATGAACTCAAGAAATGAGAGATGTAGCAGGTTCCTGAAACTCTCCATTCCCTATATCCAAGCTTTCTCATCTGAATATTGAAGATAGAAAAGCTGTTTGTGTCCCACTCAGATTCCTCTTTTATGGCCAGTGCAGACACAGTTCCCCCTTTTCCTTAGAGAACATCTCTGTTGATGGCAGCCCCCTTTTCCAGGAGGCTAACCACCCCATATCCTTACCCTCTTCCTGGGTGCACCCAACAAGCCAATGACAGATAGGTGAATACAGAAGGCTGATCACTTACCTGTAGAAACTGCAGCTCTGGTAGAGATTTGTGATCACCCTGTAGATTAGGCCAAGGATAGACTTACCTGAGGCTGTATCTTTCCTCAGTTCATTCTCCTTTTCTATCCTGCCTCCCCCACTACCTTTACCAAATTCCTGTCTCAGGCTCTGCTTCTAGGGAATCTTACCTAAAAATGATGCTTCCAGGAGTCGTTCTAGGAAGCAAACATTAAGCATGGGATTCTGGAGTTGGATCACTTATGGGTCAGCAGAAACAAAAATGCTATCATTGGTGGTAGATGAAGTATTGATAGATTTTGGCAGTGTAATTGCTAAGATTTTCTCCTGTGGTGAAAAATGATGGTAAACAGGTAGATGAGTGTGTTCTGGCTTGCCTAATGTCTCTGGCCTCTTAGAGACAGTGGAGAAATTGTATTTATAAGGGTTGGAGTTTGGGTGGCTGTTGCTAAAAATTAAGAATGCTTGAAGGCAGAAAATGACAGGCTCAGGGAAATCAATCATTAATTTACGTCCTGCTAACAGAGCTGAAAACCAGGCATTGTTGTCATCACTGAATTCAAACTAGTATAATATAGTAATTACTTATATTGGTAAATAAGCCACCAAAAATAGTTTAATTTATGCTATGTATTCTGTGTTTAAGGGTTCAGGTAAGTGCAAAATGTAGTACAGACTGCTTGCAATCTAAAATCTTAAATGTTCCTGCTGAAAAAGATTTAGAAGGTATTTGTCAAATGTGAATGCATGTTGTGTTCTGAGTTTTAAATGCCCATGTTGTCTTTATTTTGAAGAAAGTAAAGGAATGGTGAATATTTTTTATAACTAAGCATAATATGTGATATCATTTAATTTTCTCAAGTAGCCCACAAAGGCAGGTACTATTGTAATGACCATTTTACAGAAGAATAATATAAGACAAAGAGAGATATGCACAAAGTTTCTAAAGGTCATGGACAATAGCAGTAGAGAGCTAGAACTCAAAATTAAGTCCTGATTTCAATAAATGCTATGTTGTTTTTCTATATTGATGTTAGCTATACATAGGAGTCTCCTTTTTTGAATGGCTGAGGAATTTTTCAAGATTATAGTTTTTATTGTTTTTCTTTGTTGGGCCTGGAATAAATGTGTAGTCTGCATAATTTGGAACTCACAGTGTAGTATAGGAAAGACTGTCACAAATAGTCTGAAAAATTAATCAGAAAATAAAATCAGATATGAGCAATACAATCCTTCAGGCTAAATATGACAATGATCTTGGTGTAAACCTAAGATGTGTCTAGACTTGGAGGTAGAGGTGTCCTCTTGGGCCCATGCAAGTGTTCATTTGCATTTAAAGTGACGGGTTGCCTGGAAAATAAATCACCTAAGGAAAAAGAAATTGAGGAACATGAGATGTTTAAGGATAATGTGAAGACAGGGCTGTAAGGGGGAGGAAATTAAACTCTGTTTTGGTCTGCTGTAAGGACTTTTGGGTCCAGAATATGCAAATTTACTCAAATAATACTAAGTAAAGGGAAATTTTACTGAAGGGATTCACATAGACTGGAAACAAAGTCATTCAGAATCAGATACAGCTCTAAGCTTATGCTACAATCTCAAAAAAAAAACCTGCAAAATATATTTATATGCTCTTTTTTTGGCTCATTATTTTCTCCCCAATTCCTTTCAGAATCCCTTATCCAAACTGATTGGCTTAGTTCATTGGTTAGATGCTTAATGAGCAAAGTGTTTTTTTCAGGGTAACTGACCTGTGACTTGCATATGGATCAGATACTCCAACTGATCCAACAAATGGCTATCTTTGCACAAGGGTGTTTTTTTTTTTTTTTTCTGATATCCCTAAGCAAAGCTATTGTAAAGGAATGGTGAACATTTTTTATAACTAAGCATTATATGTAATAGCATTTAATTTTCTCAAGTAGCCCACAAAGGCAGGTTCTATTGTAATGACCATTTTACAGAACGATAATATAAGACAAAGAGAGGTATGCACAAAGTTTCTAAAGGTCATGTACAATAGCAGTAGAGAGCTAGAACTCAAAATTCAGTCTTGATTTCAGTTGAAGTCAGTTTCAGCTATAGTTTCTGTTTGGTTGGTTGGGATTTTTTTGGCAGCAATATGACTGAGACATCTAGTATGCAGATTATATTATTCTAATATTTTGATGATTATATAATTTATCATCAAAACTAGCTCACTTTTGAGGATGAGATGGGTGATCTTAATAATTGCATTGAAACAACAGAAATAAATCAAGACTCTCTCTCAGACAAACTAGAATGTGAAGTCAAATTTCACAAGGCACAGACTCCTTTATTCTTCCTTCTGCTGAAGTTTGAGGCAAATAAATGTCACATCTATTTTTTGAGAGTGCTAACACAACATGGGGATCATCCATGTTAATACCTGAGCCCAGGCCAGTGGCATCAGGACTTGGAGCAATTTCAGGTGAATCCATAGACCTACATCCCTGACATCACTAAGATATTTTATTGTGTTTTGACAGACAGCAAAATCCTGGACAGTAAGCATTATTAAAGAAGTTATATACAGGAAAGGAAGAGTGTTTCTAAGAAATTTCCTAGTAAATTCAGGGTGCCAGTTGTTTATTATTATAAGTGGGACCTCAAAACTTTCTTTGTCCCCATTTCCTGTTGGTATTTGATAATAGAATGACAGGTGGTTAAAAAACTAAGTTTTGTGAAATTTGAAGCAATTCATAGAAAATCAGTAAGATTCAGAAGAGAAGCAAATTCTTAACTGTATGATCTTAGTCAAATCACAAAACTCTGGATCTCAGTAGCCTCAATTAAAAACTGAATTCCTTTAATAAGTCTGAAAATATTTACTCTTGTAGGCTAATAACATGATAAAGAAGTAATTAAATTTTTGGTAAAACTGATTCTTATGAATGAGACCAAGGTCACATTTGGAGTTATAATTTACAATTTATGTTAATCTAGTTCCTCCAGAAAACAAACACAAAAAAGGATTCAGTGCTCAAGGATTTTATTCAGCAAAATGCTTTGAAAGAAAATAAGTCTGGGAGTGCTACTGGACAACAATGCAAGTCTTGACTCAGAGGGGAGGGAGGGAAGGAAGTTTGGTGGTGGTGTCCTAGATGGCCATACATTCTAAAGAAGTTAACAAGGCACTTCAGGAGAATGCAAGATAGATGCAGCCAACAGAGAAATCCTGTGCCTTCCGGGAGCAGATATAACATAGTATAGTATCCCACTGAGCTCAGACATGTGCTTGAAGTAGCCCTTGAGAAATGTGGGTTTAGTGCTAATGTGGAAATAGTTTTAGAAGCTTTGCCACAACTTCTAAGTTGTGGAGGTCTACTTCTTCGCAAAAGTTCAGAACTAGTTTCTCTGTTTTTTCTGAAACTTTCTTCCTGAGGGGAACCTCAGAAGAAGAAACTTATTGGGATAAATTAGTTTTCATTTCTGCACTTGAATTCCGAGCTATACATGGTACTCATCTTCTTCCTCCCTTACTACTCATTTTAAATTCCCCTCAATCTTAGTGATCACCTGAGCAGGTTCGGGTGGTTTACCTGGTGTTACCTTCGTTACTAAGGTGTTCATACCCTTGATAATGGTACCAGTCTCAGTTCTGAACATGTCCATTCAGTTATAATAGGGTGAGGGATTACCAGGAGGTGACCAAGTAGATCTTCTGTGTTTAATTTGTTTTCCTGTCCTCTTTGTGTTAAAAAATGCCCTAAAATATGCCTACTCTTTCTATTAGGGCTAGTTACTTTTGCCAGGATGGTGACTGTTCTTGCTTTCCTCTCCCTGTTAACAGGATGCCAAAGTGCCCTGAAAATAGCTCTAAATTTTAGGTCAGTGGGACCCTTACTGTATTCACTGGTAAACGTGTGCTTGTTTGGAAACAAGGACATCCAACCCTACAGAGTGCAAAGTTGAGAGGACACAAGTCACAAAATCCCCAATTAGGTCATCAGAGCTCGTGATAGGAGAAAATACTCCATCTTCTACCTGGACAATGTATCCTTCCTATTGGAAACATAGAGCAAAAAGTGTTCTGCAGTATAATAAATATACTTTGTTCTGAAGGATGTCACCTTATCCTTTCAGATGTGGTTTTAGTCTCACTTTTGAACACCATTGTTGTGTTTTTTGAGCATGGTACAGTATAAGATGCAACCACTGAATCCCAAAGTTATGGACCCACTTCCACGTCTCTTATGTATCCCCTAATCAGATTTTGTGCTTTTTGTGATTCTGTACCTATGGACCAAGCATTCCATAAGCTCCTAGATATTAGTACTTGCCAAAGCTTCGTAGGTTGGAAAAGCAAATTTATGCACAGAACAGGCATCTAATCCTATCAGAATGGACACCTGGCACTTCTGGGACAGATGGCAACCAGTGTGGAAAACTTGCCAAAAAGTGGCTGATTAGTCACCTAGAGAAATAGTGCCTTATTGGAGCTAAACTGTTGGTCTCCATTGCTGACAGGATGAACACTTGCAATATAATAATCTCATGAAATAGAATCCACTGGTATCATTCTAGCCTTTCATAATACATGCATCCCATATGCTCTCTTTACTCAGCTTCTTTATTTCCTCTTCTACCATTTGTAGGGCATTTTAAAACTTTTGAGAGCCACCTGAAATCCTTGTTGGGAGTTTAAATGCCATGTATTGAGAAAGTGCCCACATGTCAATGAATTCTTGCCTTTCCTGTCAGAAATTTTGGGTCCCTTTATCAAGCATCATTAAAATCCAATCCACGCTCACTACCCTCAGTCATGGCAGTGTATGCCAGCTAGTTCTTGCAATTCTTCAGAAATACAGTCTTTTGTCTTCTTTATCAGTCCGAGCAAGTTCCCAGAGAAGTTGTACTAAAATTTTTCGTTAGTGTTTAGCCTGGTAGCCAGGAGAGCCTGTGGAGGCAGCTCCCAAGGCTGACATCTGTTACCTTTGTAAGAGTGGCTTCTGCAACTTCTTTCATCACAGCTAGCTCTTATTATAGAAAGTGTTCCTTTTTACAGGCTCAAAATGTCCAGAGTAAGCTGAACAATCAACATCTTCAGAGACAGCCTGATATATTTCCTGTTCCATGTTTTCATGAACCCAGGTTTACTCCACAAGGGCCTGACACCACTACAAGCCACTACACACCACTGCACCACTACAAGCAGTACTTAACAGAAGTAGTACATAGGTTGATGCAAAAGCAATTGTGGTTTTGGACTGTGAGTTTTAAATCATTATAACTGGGATCAAACACATCTTTATTAATAAAAATAGGAACCATTACAATCAATGCATTTTTGCCAATGAGAAATATGTTTATTCCTGTAGTGTAAAAATCCATGCTTACGGATTTGATGAACTCTTGGAAAGCCTTTTCTGCCTTAGTTTCTGCATTCTGCTGATTGAGGAAGTGTTTTCCCTGCAAAAAGTCTTTAAGATGCTTGAAGAAGTAGTAGTCAGTTGGCGAGAATATAGCAGGCGAGACAAAACTTCGTAGCCCAATTTGTTCAACTTTTGAAGCATTGGTTGTGCGAGGTGCAGTAGGGCCTTGTCTTGAAGAAGAACTGGGCCCTTCCCATTGACCAATGCTGGCTGCAAGTGTTGCAATTTTTGGTGCATCTCATCAATTTGCTGAGCATACTGCTCATATGTAATGGTTTCACCTGGATTCAGAAAGCTGCAGTGGATCAGACCACCAAACAGTGACCAGGACCCTTTTTTGGCACAAGTTTGGCTTTGGGAAGTGCTTTGGATCTTCTCTGTCCAACGACTGAGCTAGTCATCGCTGGTTGTCGTATGAAAGCCACTTTTTATCGGAGGTCACAATCTGATTGAGAAATGGTTCATTGTTGTTGCATAGAATAAGAGAAGATGAAACTTCAAAATGATGATTTTTTAAAAATTTTTAGTCAGCTCATGAGGCACTCAAGAGCTTTTTCACCTTTCCATTTTGCTTCAAATGCTGAACGACCTTAGAATGGTTGATGTTAAGTTCTTCAGCAACTTCTCGTGTAGTTGTAAGGGGATCAGCTTTGATGATTGCTCTCAATTGGTCGTTGTCAACTTCCCATGGCTGGTCACTAAGCTCCTCATCTTCAAGGCTCTTGTCTCCTTTGCAAAACTTCTTGAACTCCGCTTCACTGTATGTTCGTTAGCAGCTCCTGGGTCGAATGCATTATTGATATCGCCAGTTGACTTCGCTGCTTTATGACCCATTTTGAACACGAATAAGAAAATCACTCAAATTTGCTTTTGTCTAACATTATTTCCATAGTCTAAAATAAATATAAAATAAACACCAAGTAATAAGTCATTAGCAAAAAAAAAAAACAAGAAATGTGCATTAAAATGATGTATAACATAACCACATTTATTTAAGAATGCATTCCAATATCAAATTGCAATTTCAACAATGCAAAAACCTCTTTACTCTTGCACCATATACTATATATAACTATACAAATACGTGTAGTATTTGTATAATTATATATTATATATATGGCATATCCAAATATGCTATATCTACATCTATACCTAATCCTGATACTTCTTTTGTTTATCATACAGAAGCCCAGGCAGGACCCATGTCTGATGGCTGGGAAGGCCATCAGACCTCAAAGCAAGTCTGACCCTGAGGAAAGAATGAGGGAAAGAAAGTTGTGTGAAAACATCTTAAAGGGTTGTGGGTTTGTGCAGTCTAAGGACAGTTTGGCAAGGATGCCATGGGACCCCCAGGGCAAAGTCAATCCTTAGAGGAGGCTCAGTTTCCCCAGCAATAGGGCTGCTTTAGTTTCCTAACTGTGCCTGTTCATTGCTGGGAGCAAGCCTGTGGGAGGAATGTCCTCAGTGCAGAAATGCTCAATGAACTTCTTAGTACTACAGTTGGAGCCTTCATCAAATACCCTCTGTGTGCTTTCATGATTGTGAGGGGCATTCTCATAGCCACCAGAAAATTATTCTGGGGAAAAATTTTACAGCCATGAGGTGTGCAATGACCAGATGAAGACTAGGATTAGTAATCAAGCAATTAAGAAATAACTAATTTTTTAATGAAAGAATTTTTGTAAAAAGAATATAAAGAAGTCATAAAATATCATTATTCACACCTGATATGTTTTGGGTCTGTGTCCCCTCCCAAATCTCATTTCCAATTGTAATCCTCAATGTGGGAGGTGAGGTTTGGTGGAAGGCGATTGGACCTGGGGGATGGATTTCCTCTTTGGTGCTGTTCTTGTGATAGTGACTGAGTTATCATGAGATTTGGTTGTTTAAAAGTGTGTAGCCCTCCCACCGTCTCTTCTTTCTGCTCCAAGCATGTAAGACATGCCTGCTTTCCCTTTGCCTTCTGCCATGATTGAAAGTTTCCTGAGGCCTCCCCAGAATCCATCATGCTTCCTGTACAGCCTACAGAACCATGAACCAATTAAAACTCATTTCTTTATATGGCACAAATTTGGGTATTTCTTTATAGCAGTGCCAGAATGAACTAATACAGTAGCCTTGTGCCCTTTGCATTTTAGTAATTTATGTGTCATGATAAATCAGTAACTCATCAAGGAAGTAAGGCAAGTTCTTATTCCAACCATAGGTGGTTTAACAGGCAATAGATATATTCTTCTGCCTGTTAAATCATGTGTATGTGTATACACAAATGTATGTTTCTGTCAGTTAAACCATATTATCAGAATACAAACTTGTCTTTTCTCCATTTTATATATATATATATATACACACACATATATATGTGTGTGTTTATGTGTGTGTATCTGTGTGTATAAATCTTATATACATCTATGCATATGTTGATATACATGCATCTATACATAATATAAACATACACATATATACATTTGGATACATGTGCATATGTGTACTCAAACACAGACTATACATATATATACATGTACACATGAACACATATACACACACACACGCACACACTCACACCTGTGAGAGAGATGACTATAGCAGTTGTCATTAAATAGATATTTAGTAATTATAATGTTTCACTCATTCTTATTAAATTATTTATGTCATAATACTTATTTATCCTAAAGGAAGTGCTATGTCATATTTTCCTTGGAATCCATTATTTTCCATTATTCTGGGTCATCACTTTACCCATGCTGTAATGTGGAGAACAGTGATTGTGTATGTCCTTTCGTAAGCAACCTGGATAAATGAAAGAAGCCAAATAGTTTGCAAAGAGTTAGCAAAATGATATCCCATTGTAAAAGAAGAACTTAAAAATAAATGGCAATATTGTAAAGTTTATTATGTAATTTTGACTATGTTTCTGTAGTGATGTCTGTGAAAAGTACAAAGTTATATGTGTTTGGTATTAATATATGAATGTGTATATTTTCTACATGAATATCACTCTTAAATTTTATCAAAAATATTTTTTTGAAAAACAGGAATCTACATTTATTAGAGTTAGAAATAAAAAAAATTATTTAAGAAAGTTGGTGTCCTGTAGTTTCTTTCTTTGTTTCTAAATATAAAACTCACCCTGAGAAAGATAGCTATGCCTGAGAACATGAGGACTAGCTAGAATTTCATGGCATAGCTGCAATAGGACCTTAGTGAGTATGTTGTTCTCCTAGCTTTTTGGATAACTTATTTTAAAAATTAAATCAATAATAAACTGTGTCTGGTTCAGAATTACATAACTAAAGTAATGAAAACAGAAATTGTACAGAACTACAAGATAGAATATAACAAAAATACAAAATAACATTATTTTCAACAGTATTAGTGATGTATGCTACTTTTCCATGGCTGTAACAGGATTTACAATTCAGAGACTTGTAATTTCCTGTTTCCTCCCCTTAAAATCATCCCGATTAGCCCACAATTACTATTACCAACACTTACTCAGGTTTAAAATAATTTTTTCCAGTTTTTCCCACTGGAGTTACAAACAATTTGAAATAAGGGACTCTGTCTTATTTATTGCTATATCCTCATTTCCCAGGATATTCCTCTCATACCTTAAATATTTTTCTGAGTGAAGTAATAATGCAATATATTTTTAAATAGTGTTTTACCCCCACATCCTCTACATACCTCTATAATCTAAGTATTACATGGTGTTATCTTCTTTGATGTTTAAATGCGTTGGTTCTAAATCTCCATCTAATTCAGTAGGGACCACATTCACACAACAAGTATTTGTAGCTTCTTGGGTTTGAGGGAAGGAACAGAGAGAGGTGCTATAAAAAATACCAAATATTTTTCCTAGCCCTACATGGATTCATGTTTTTGTTTATGCCTAATAGGTTTATTTTCTGAATCATCTATGCAGGTGATGACATATAAAAGCAATTGTTAAAGACACGTGCATAGAGAACTCAAAATTGAAGGGTGGATGACCAGTCAATTTTCTTCTTAGAGTTCATCAACCTAACATGTTAAAGGTCCTCTCTTTAACATTCTGTACCATTCTCCTTACCTTTACATTACCTTTAAATTTTTGTACAAAGCAATGTTGCCATATCTTACATTTTACTTCAAGAATCTTAGGGAGTCATCACTTACACATGAAGATATTTTTCTAAACAATCACATTTTGTACCCAAGTGGAGGTCTTGTGAAACTTGACAAAATTTCTCCTTCAATGTATAGAATTCTACGTAGCATAACATCTTCTAATTCACTTCCAATGTTCATGGTATTGAGTTCCCACAATTATTTGAGAACCAGTAGATATTTATTCACAGAAATAAGGAATATTCTTTGAATTAAATGACAGATTACATCCAGAATGTTGATGAAAATCGCCATATGCTTTACCCCAAGTAAGGAATACACTTTACTCAATGTTTTTCTTTCAAGTACCCAAATGGAGGTAAAATATATAATGTAACATATGTTATTAAATATATATCATGAAATATACATATATAACATATATCAAATGAAAGTTTTATATACATGTAGAATGTCCCAATTATTCTATTTATATTGAGAAACAATTGCTTAGCATCACAACATGCCCAAATACTATTTCATGATTATATAGCCATAAACTGATATATTGGACCTAAATATTCCATATGAAATGATATTAACAGAATAATTATTTACAAGATAAGAAAAGTGAAAAAGATTAATGAATCTGGGAATAAAACAATGGAAGCTACTCTTACACACTATCATGAACTCAGTTGGCCTTTTTTGTTTCACAAAATAAGAGATGATACATGCTATATAACTAGAAGAGTTCGACTTCTCTCCCATAACTCAATCACCAAACTCTTGGCAGCTGTATTACAGATGCTACATATGAGTAACAGCTTAATTAACGTATTACTGACATGAAATGTACTCTATATATTTAAAGTGTATGATTTGATACATTTTGATGTATGTAAACCTATGAAACAATCACTGCAATGAACATGTCCATCACCCTCAAATATTTCCTTAGGCTTACTTGTAATACTTCCCACCTGCACTTTCTAATTGCCTCCAATCGTTCCCAGGAAACTATTAATATGTTTTCTGTCAAGATAGGTTAGTTTACATTTTGTAGACATGTATACAAATAAAATCATATAAAGTATTCATTTTTATTTTGCTTCTTTCACTTAGCATAATTATTTTGGGATTTAGCTGCGGTGTTGAAAAATATATACATATATATGTGCATTCTGTTTTAAGAATGGGCATTTAGGTTTTTTCAGTTTTTTTGTTCTGTTTTGAGCATTTTGGCTACTACTTCTTAAGCTACTATAAACATTTATGTACAGGTCTTTGTTACCCACAT